>NC_000001.11:210002768-210154283 GCF_000001405.40 Homo sapiens | reverse complement strand
CATGGACTGGTACTGGTCTGTGGCCGGGGGGTTGGAGACCTCTGAAATAGACATCTTTCTAGAAAGTTATTACCAACCAGAAGAGATGCTGGAAGACTGTTCAGAAACAGTCTTACTAAAGAAATTGAATTTGTAATTAAAAGCCTTTCCAAAATACACATACAAAACAAAAATAAGAAACTTTGGCCTAGATGGCTTCACTAGTGAATTCTAATTAATAATGCTAGTTTTACACAAACTCTTTCAGATATTAGAGAAAGAGAAACCACTCCTCAACTTCCTTTAAGAATTTAGCAAAATATTAAAACCAAAATCTAATAAGGGCATTATAAAAAAGAAAAATTACAAGATTTTCTCATTCATGAATCTAGATGAAAAAATCCTAAATATACATCAGCAAACCAAATCTAGCAACATGCAACATCGTACTTAATAGCAAAAAATGTTAATGTTTCCCCTTTGAAATTGCCAACTATTACTACTTTTAGTCAACACTGTAGTGGAGATACCAGCTAGTGAAGATCCTAGCCTTACTAAAGACAATAAAATGAAATAAAAAGTATAATGATTTGGAAGGGGACTAGATTTTTTTAAAAAGCCCTTATGTGCAGATTACATAATTATGTACACAGGAACAAATCTACAGATGAACTGCAGTTGTATACAGAGGTAAAATTTAGAAATCCATACATTACTATATATCAGAAGCAAACAGAAAATAAAATTTATTAAAATATCATTTATTATGGCATTTAAATATAAAATATGTAGGAATAAATGTAACAAATGATATGCAAGGCCTCTATACAGAAAACTATGAACATTATTGGGAGAAACCAAAAAGTACTATATAAACTGTTACTGTATTAGCTCAATTTTGTAACATTCTTTCCAAATTAATCCATAGATTAAATTCAATTCCAATAAAAATATCGGCAGGTTTCTTTGAATTGTTTGACTTCATTAGTAATCAGGGGAATGGAAATGAAAACTATGAGGTAACGCTACACAACAAACAGATGAGCTAAAAGAATACCAAATGTGGTGAGGACAAAGCACTGGGAACTATCATAGTTCTCTTGTAGAAATGTGGAGTGATACCAATGTTTTAAATGTTATAAATACACATACCCTATGATCTGGCAGTTCCACCCCTACATATATACCCATCAGAAATAAGTGCAGTGTTTATCAAGAGACATATGAAAGAATGTCCATAGCAGCATTACTCATATTGGATCCAAGCAATAGAATGGATAGTTTGTACTGAGTTCATACAATGGCATACTATACAGCAATGAAAACCAATTATAACATTTACAAATGTGATTTTAAGTAAAACATGTTGGGCCCAAAAGGATACCAGCTGCATAATTCCATTTATGTAAAGTAAAAAAAACAAACAAAAAAATCAAACAACCCAAAAACCAAAACCTCAAACCAAGCAGAACTAAACCATTATGTTCCCGATGTATTAATAGGTGGTAACATTATAAAGAAAAGCAAAAAAGTAATTCACATAAAGTAAAAATTGTAGTTAACTCTGGAGGTGGGAGAGAAGAACAGTGATTGGGAAGGGCAGGATGGGAGTTTCTGGGGTTAGTGAGACAATGTTTCTTTCATTCCTTGACCTGGATGGTAATTACATGGGTTTTGCTTTGTGATAAATGGGTTGCACACTTGCATTTTTTACCCTTTTCTAATGTGTGTTGGGTTTTGCAAGAAAGAAGATTTAAGAAAAGAATTACATGATGAAAAGACACAGTATACACAAATGAATATACAACGATAAAAATAAATATACAGAACTTTCTTTGAAGATTCCCAAAGAGATCCAATCCATGAATTAAAAAGAAAAGAAAAAAAAGACACTAACAGTATTCCCTATAACAATGTAGTTAAAATTTTTTAAAATGTTTTAAAGAATCCTGGAGTTTAAACCTACTACTGGCTGTAGAAGTAATGAAGGAGAATTAATACATACCTGGAGCCTGAACAAACTTGTTGGACTAATATACAGAAGGGTAAAATCTCCTATTTTTAACTGTAGACTACAGAGTGGAAGCCAAAAGGAATACACATTTTATATTCTTAAGTCATGGGTACACAAAACACATAGTTTGGTATGTTTTCATGACAGTTGGAGAAAACAATTTTAGTAAGTTTCAATTAGGATATATCATCACTTATGAAAATAGTGTCAAAAACATGCTTGAGCACATTTGGTGCATTTGTTACATTAGGCTATAATACTAGCAGCATCTGTTAGAATATTGTGAGATACATTTTTCACAATATAGTATTTTTCACATTAACCTACTGTCAGATAAGATGTGAACCTAATAGTTGTTTATACACAGAAGTCATACTGCCACTTTTGAGAAACAAAGCGATGCCCAAAGAAAGCGATGGAAAGGCCTTTCTCAATCTTAAGGAAAACACTCCCCACTTCACTGCTGTGAAAATCGTTATCTTCAAATCCAAACAAAAAGCAAGAGCATTAAGATCCTTGTTGATCACATTCTATTTTAGTAAGCCCTGCTGAAATATAGTGGTGTTTACATAACACAAGAAACTATTATCTAGAAGAGTTCATTATGAATTTATGCCCTAGAAAAAGTGCTAATCTCATGTCCCTTCCACTGGCATTAGTGTAACTGTCAATTCAATGTTGGTAGAGTTGTGGCAGTCCAAAGAGATCACTCAGTACAAGAAAAGCAGTAAAGAATAGCTATGTAAACAGAACCACTGTAGTTAAAAAAAAAAAAAAGGGGGGGGGCATTCGCCTATAATTTCAGCTACTTGGGAGGCTGACAGAAGAGAACCACTTGACCCCAGGAGTTCTAGAGCAGCCTGGGCAACATAGCGAGATCTGTCTCAAAAACAAACAACCTCAAATTAAATATCGATGCTGTCTGCCCAAATGGCAGCTTTCCTCAGACTACTCCTCAGGGCATGCTGCTCCATTCAGTGTATATTCAGGAATCTCCATCTACTCCCTCTGCAGATCTCATCATTAATTTATAACTGGGGCTTGCCTAGGTAGCAGTAGCTGCAGGTGATTAATGCAAAGTCAAACAAATTCCAATCATAACTAGGTCTACTTAAAAGAACAGTCCCACAGGCTCCCCAAAGTAAAACTTCTTTCCATCTTGCATAATATTTTACTTCTTTTTAATACTTCCCCTCCTTCCCCCTGAGTCTTCTGCCCTAGGGTAAAGGATTACAAGTAATTCTGTGAAAGTAAAGTATATGTAATTTTTAGAGGAATGAATATACTCTATATGTTTACCATAACCAGAATTAGTGGTTAAGGTGGCCATTACATTTACTTAATGGTGTGAATAGGTTAAAATCAGGTGGAAGCTTGTACATACATAGAGAAAAAACAATATGATTAAAAATACAATATAATTCCTATTAACATACTGGGCTTTTTATTAATATTAAATTACTTCCAGCTTACTTGTAACTACTTATGTTCAATATTTTTTAAGGTGAAACTACTGAACTGTACAATGATAATTACTATAATTGAATTATCTATTGAATAGTGTCTGTGCAACTTAATTCTCACTGTGTCTGGAAGATAGCATTCAGTTTTTAATTTTATTTATATGTGAAATGCTTCCATTATACTTTTCTGAAAATGGGGCGATCACAGAGGGTGCTGAAGTTAAAACAAGGGAAGTCACCTGCTGCAAAGTTAGAGCTGCCGCTAATGATGAGCTTCATCTCTAGCAGCAAGGCTCCCTCCTCAGGGTCCTTTCCTAGCCCCAGGGAACTAGGTAAGGAGGAGATCACCAGAGGCAATTTCAGGAGAGAGGAAGAAAGAGCATGATTGCTCCAAATCCCACCTCCTTTCCATCCTCCACACTGTAAGTCTAGCGTAAAGGAGAGCCAGGCTGGGTTTTAGTAGGGTTTGTAAAAATACCGAGTGTATCAAAGGGACAGCCTACTGGAGTGAGCAGTGGCTTTGTACAGTTTGTACACAGGCAGCTTCAGGCACTCATTGATCCAGGCCTCAACCCATGTTACTAGGAACCAGTTCTCCTTTATCCATTTCTCAGGTTTGTTTCCCAAATTTGGCTTCATTCTTTGGCAGACTTTTCCCTCCTAGTTGCCGGCAGCTCTGAGTGTCATGGGAAAGAGGAAGACAGCATCCTACTTGCTCAAACCCAAATCCTGGAACTTGCTGCTTAGAGCCCATGAGATTTAATTCTAGGGCTTTGCAATAAAGTCCGCTTCAGCATAATACAGGGGCAGGTTAGTCTCCCAACCAAAATCTGGGTACTGTGTGCATAAGAAAGATATGAATGCTAGGCAGAAAAAACAGACGTCAACTACAGAGCCCATTCAACTGAGTTGTCTGTCCCTGCTTTCTCCCCCTTGGTCTTCAGTGAGACTGTTATCCACATTACTGGGGAGCAGGTGATGTTGCTGTTGCTCCAATTGTAAGTACCCTCCACAGGCTCTTGCTGTGCAGTTATTAGCCTTGCAGGAGCCAAGGAAGATGAAAAGATGGTTCAATGAAACAGAATCACGATATTACCACACTCATGGAGCACAGCTCTGACATTCAGGTTAGGAAAGGAAGAGCTACAATAGAAGTAGAAAATGATCACTTTTTCTTTCCTAAGCACTACATATTAACACTAAAAATTAACATATCTAAGATTTAAGATAGAAGAAAAATGAATCATAGAACATTCACATAAATAACCATAATAACAAAATATTTTATCAGCGTTTGACCATAGCATCATGTGGAAATGGTCATAAAAATCCCTGCTATGATCCGCCGTGTGCAGTGGCTCATGCCTGTAATCCCAGCACTTTGGGAGGCCAAGGCAGGCAGATCACTTGAGGCCACGAGATTGAGACCAGCCTGGCCAACATGGTGAAACACTGCCTCTACTAAAAATACAAAAATTAGCCAGGTGTGGTGGCAGGCGCCTGTAATCCCAGCTACTCGGGAGGCAGAGGCATGAAAATTGCTTGAACCTGCGAGGTGGAGGTTGCAGTGAGCCGACATCATGCCATTGTACTCCAGCCTGGGTGACAGAGTGAGACTCCATCTCAAAAAAAAAAAAAAAAAAAAAATTCCTGCTATAATCAAAATTTATGTATATGTATGTATATATACATATGCACTTTTTTGCTGTATTCGATATGAACATATTTAATTAGCATTTCTGCCTATACGCTTATAAGTGAGATTGGTTTATAAAGTTTATAAGTTTCTTTTCTCATGGTCTCCTGAAATAATACCTATTTGAAGAATATATATGTATAAATATAGGCATATGTGTATATTTTTTGCTGAATTATTTTAAAATGCTTAATTTAGGGTTTCTGCATATATGTTTATAAATGAGATTGGTTTATAATTTTCTCATGTTATTCTTGTCTAGTTGGTGTCAAAATTATATAAGCCTCGAAAGAGAAGTTAGGTACCTTTCCTTTTCATTCTCTGAAATAGCTTATGTAACATAGAAGTTACTTGTTCACTGAAGTTGGGTAAAACTTGCTTCTGAAAGTCGACCATCTTTTTTTCCTCTTTCTTTCTTTTAAGGGGACTCTGGCTACTGGCTGAATTTCTTTAATGATAATCACTCTTTTCATGTTTTCTACTACTCTTAAATCACTTTTTAGACATTTGTATGTTTCAAGAAAATTGTACATTTTGTTTTCAAATTTATTTTCCTAGAGTCATTCTCTTATAATTTTGAGACCTCCACTGAATTGGTGGTTATGTCCTTTTTTTTTTTTTTTGAGACGGAGTTTTGCTCTGTCGCCCAGGCTGGAGTGCAGTGGCGCGATCTCGGCTCACCGCAAGCTCCGCCTCCCGGGTTCACACCATTCTCCTGCCTCAGCCTCCTGCATAGCTGAGACTACAGGCGCCCGCCACCACGCCCGGCTAATTTTTTTGTATTTTTAGTAGAGACGGGGTTTCACCGTGTTAGCCAGGATGGTCTTGATCTCCTGACCTCGTGATCCGCCCACCTCGGCCTCCCAAAGTGCTGGGATTACAGGCATGAGCCACCGCGCCTGGCCTAGATATTTCCTTATAATACTGATAGGGGCTGAAATCCACAAATTTAGGTATTTTCATTTGTGTTTGTGCGTAAGTATTTCCAATTTTAATTATGCTTTATTCTCTGGCACTGAGTTGACTTACGAAGTTTTTTTTGTTTGTGTGAGTATTGAGTATTGAAAAATATAGATTTTGGTGGGTTGGAGTGAGAGGGCTGCCTCTTTTACTTTACCTCCTACTACTTTACTCCTCAATCATGGAGTTCTAGCTAAATGCACTTCCTTGCTACTCCCTGAACACAACACACGCACTCTGGGCTCAGGATGGGCTGCTCCATCCGCTTGCAGTGTTCTTTCCTCAGATTTTTACATGGTTAACTCCCTCACCTCTTTCAAGTCTTTGCTCATATGTCACATTCCCAATGAGCCTTATACCTTGACCCTTATTTAATAGTACACCTCCTTTCTCACTAGCACTCTTAATTCTGCTTACCCTGTTTTTCCCTCCACCCCACAGTACTTATCTCTTTCTCACATACCCTATACTTATTGTATTATGTTTATCTCTCTCTTCTTTACCTAGAATTAAGTTTCATGCAAGCCAAAATTTATATCTGTTTTTCATTAATGTATACTGAATACTTAGAACAATGTCTAGCATGTAGTATGTTACACTACTGCACTGCCTTCTGGCCTTTGTTGTAGCTGTTGAGAAGTCTGCTGTTGGTCAAATTGTTGTTCCCTTATATATTCTCTGGTTGCTTTTATCATTTTGTCTGGTATTTTATCCTTTCACTGTAATTTTTATGGGTGTGGACTCAGTTTTAATAATCCTGTTTAAAACTTCTAATTTCTCAATCTGATGATCTATGTATTTTAAATATTATCTTTCATTTTCTCTAGTCTCACATTCTGGAGTCCTTATTGGAAAATATGCTTAACATTCTTATTCCACTCTCCAAAACTTTTTCATATTTTTCATTGACTGTATTTTTAATGACTTTTTCATTCTAGAAGTTCAATATGGCCCTTATTTAAATCAGCCTCTTTTCCCACATTGTCTTATTCTTTTTTTTTGTAGTTTCTATTACTTCTTTTATTTCTTTATTCTATTAAAGCATATTTATTTTATAATGTCTTTCACAGAGCCCTATTAGTTCTAGAGCTGCCAACACATCTTTCTCTTGCATCTACTGTCATTCATGGTGGACCAATTCTTCCTGCTCATACTTTTTAAAATGTGAGTTCATCTTCAATGGAAATTATTTTTTTCTGTGGGAATTGTATAGCCTAAGTTTGGCTTCCTGAACAAAATAGGATTTCTTTTAAGGAAAGAAGTAGTGGAGATGGTCTCGATCTCCTGAGACCATATATACTACATACATATAGTATATATGTAGTACATACATACATATAGTATGCATGTAGTATATATATGTAGTATATATTACATACATATAGTATGTATGTAGTATATATGTAGTATATATAACATATAGTATGTAGTATACATATACTACGTATGTACATCATATATACACATATAGACCATATATACTACATATAGTATATATGTAGTATATACATACTTCCTTGATTTCTTACTAGTCTATCACATTTCTGAAAATTTCAAAAACCTTCTTTCTCTGAGATATCCGAGTCACTGCTCACATATATTGAGTTGCTAAATAGTAAAGACTCTGTATCCCAGAAATGCTCTCACATTTACACCTGGGGCAGAAAACCAACAGTATCCATTATACTGTAGTACCTAATACACTGTTTACATTTTGTTTAACAGTTTTTAGAAACATTCATATTCATTTTATAATCCTAATTCATTTTATTTGTGACCAGACTTCAGGCCAGTTGCAAAAATAATAAATAGGCCATATACTGTTTTTTCTTTTTTTTTGAGACCGAGTCTCACTCTGTTGCCCAGGCTGGAGCGCAGTGGCGTGATCTCACTGCAACTTCTGCCTCCTGGGTTCAAGTGATTCTCATGCCTCAGCCTTCCAAGTGGCTGGGACTACAGGCATGAGCCAACACGCCCGGTTAATTTTTGTATTTTTAGTAGAGATGGGGTTTCACCATGTTGGCCAGGCTGGTCTTGAACTCCTGACCTCAGGTGACCTGCCCACCTCAGCCTCCCAAAGTGCTGGGATTACAGATGTGAGCCACCATGCCGGGCCATACTGTTTTTATCTTACTGAAGGAAACAGAATAGACTAGAAATAAAGTTGTTATTTAGAGACTCAGCAGTAGAAAAGTATATTCAATGTCTGTTCAGCACAAGCACTGTACTAGGGAATAGATGAACTGATTTCAAGGCAGACTATGATAAACTGCCTTTAGAGATTTTATGGGAGAAAATATGTGGATATGATTAACTCTGGTAACAGAAACAATATTCTGGAGATACCTGAAGTTGGTCCTAATAGTATTTCAGCAGGCATAGGGAAGGGCATTTCACACAAAGAAAGTATGAGCTAAGCCCCCAAAAGTGGGTATCACGTTTGGTAAATGTAAACTGGTCTGGAGTGGCATGTGTATATGGGGAGGGGGTGGAAAATGCAGATGGAAAGGAAGATTGAAGCCAAATTTTACTCATCCAGCACTATATGAATATTTCTATTAGAGACTTTCTGTCCTGTAACTGTTGCTTTGTCTGTCTTTCCCACTAGACTGTGAGTCCCTTCAGGGCAGAACTTTTGTTTTATTCATCTTTGTATGTCCTCAAATTAGTACAGTGCCTATCATTCAGCAGGCACTTAATAAATATTGCTGAATGAAAATAATAAATCATGAAAGACATGAAATGCGGTGGTAAGAAAAGTTGGACCTACTCTACAAGTAATGGAAGCAAGAGAGGCATTTTGAACTGGGGAGTAACATGCTCAGATATACATCTTCAAAAAATAAGGCCAAATATGCTGCATGACTGAGTGCTTGAGCAGGGATCACAACTTACTTAGCTGTGCTAGTGATAGATAAGTCTTTACTTGAGATAATACTTGCTTTGTGCACATTTTATATCCTGAGCAAAAAATTGCAATTTTTTACCCTGTAGCAAAACATAGACTTAAAAATGTTTTATTATAATCAATCTTACTGATCTAGACACGTTATAGTTGTAGTAATCATGTAAGATTTTTCTAACCTACAGACCTTTAGCGCATACTAAGAACTACACATTGTGCTTCAAAATTAATGTAGCTGACTTCCTTGATTTCTTACTAGTCTATCACATTTCTGAAAATTTCAAAAAGCTTCTTTCTCTGAGATATCTGAGTCACTGCTGACACATATTGGGTTGCTAAAGACTCCGTATCCCAGAAATGCTCTCACATTTACACCTGGGGGAAGTGTGAGCTTTTTAAATTGGTCACTCAGCATATAGAGTGTTAGAATCAGTTATTCCTACACAAGTTGATATATCCAATTATGTTATATGTTCCCTTTAATGAATTTGTTTTAAATGAGATGATTTGAATCTGTTTTTAATATAAATGTTTTTATTATTAGAAAACTAAATAGAAATAAATTAAATTATTAATATAACAGCCCCAAATGATTTCTAAGTGTCTTCCATGTTTTGGATTATAATTATCCATAGACTATTGGTTTTCCAACAGTGGTTAGTGAAATCTATTGAATTTCATTTTAAAAATATAATTTTAACTATTTAAAAATTAAAATAAGAACAATACGAGTATATAAATGAGTAATATAATAGAGGCAATATAGTGTACTCGTAAGGAAAGGAAACTTTGCAGTCAGATTTACGGGGGTCTGTTACAGGACCGTGACTTTAGTAAGGTATTTAGCATCTCCATACTTCAGTTATCTAAAAAAGGTGAAATAACTATGTCTACTTCCTTAATAGTTATATCACTTGTTAATATATTAGGGAACACATTGTATTGCAAATAAATTTAATGTATTATTATTTGTATCTTGGACTAAAGATTTACCTGTCATTTCTGTTTAATTGAGAATATTTGAAGTTTAAAGAGCAAGCTGTCAAAGTTATCATTTGTAACTCCTTATCTATATGAATCAGAGTTTTCTCTAAAATGTATAATTAAAACAAAAGAAATACATTGCACTGGATTTCAGAGCTGCAGCAAGATGAAAACGTATTAGCAGCAATTGCATAACTGTAGGTGCCTGTGCTTTGGAGTAAGACAGTTGAGTTTATGAATAAGCTCTAACTTTTTGCCATCTGCGTGACCTTGGACATGTTTTAAAAGTTCCTTGAGACTCAATTTCCTCATCTATAAAAATAATATAGTAACAGTACCCTCTAGAAAATTTTATTCTCAATTTTTTGTTCATCAAAACAACCCTATCATTTTCAGTATTAACAGATGTTACAAGTAAATATTATAAAATAAGATTTGTTAGTAAAATATCACTTTTCTCTGCCTTACTTTTTTGAGTTATAAATAATATTTCATTTGAAATAAAGGGTCTGAATGCTTGAAAAGCTTGAAAAGCCATGAACTACACTATCTTTATATCTTATTTCTGAATGGTCATTCAAATGACCACATTTTATACATTGTAAGACTGTGCTGCCCCCTGCCGACCCAGTTTCTCCAAAATATTTTGAGTCTTCACTTAAGTCAAAACTTACAGTATTACACTTAAGTAACTCTCTAGTAGTCTGGTGGACAGTAATAATATAGATGGTAAAATATTGAATATAGCGCTAAATAATATATGACATTTTTCAAGATATTAAAATATAAACAAACGGGAGCAAATGAATATAATATACTCCCAACTGTGTAATATTTAACAAATTTAGATATCCAATTCCAAGTAACTATTGTAATTGCTATTGTTTACAGTGCTGCTGACACATGGTGAAAAATTAGCAAAATATAGACATTTCTGGCTAAGATTAAATATTCAGTAATTATTTCCCTGATTCTTTCACCGAATTAATAGCAACTTGATCTTTATTTCCCTACATTAGAATGGCACTTGTTTTTTGGCTAGCTGCAATGTTTTAAAATTACACTTCTAATGCATTACCTTTTCCAACTTTTGGGCATCTTCTCTTTTTTAATCTCACATGACCAACCAGATATACACTGGTGATTTTTCCTCCGGATAGTATCTCAAAATAGGCTCTTCCTTACTACTAAAACTCCTCTAATAGAGTGTTATTATCTAATAGTGCAAAAAGTACTTGACAAATCAAAAGAGCTAGGAGTAGTTCTACCTGTTGCTAGCCCTAAGCCTGGGAAGTAATTGATCTACTGAAAGTCTCATTTTTCTCCGTTATAAAACAGAGATTCATGTTCATGTCCTCTCAAGTGATAAGATTACGTGAGCTAACACATAAGTGTTTTAAAAATAGATCACTATATTTCCATAATGCAATTTCATCTTAGTTATCTTTTCCCCATTCTGATGCTTCTTCTACACTATTATCTGTGTAGTCTGCCGTGAATGCAAACAGTGGGAAATGGGGGAGGAAGGGGTGCAGAGAGCAGGCACAGGAGAGGTCTCCTATGCTCAATCAGGTCATCCTCCATGTCAGCTCAATCTGTTACTTACTTTTAAATCTTTGAACTTTTGGCCTTGTATCTTTTTTCTGGTAACGTTCTTAGTTTTCCTTAACTGAATGGCCATTTTGGATCAGCTCATCACACTACAGTTCACCAATCTCCATGCCAGCATATGGACATCAGACACTGGTAAACTAGACTTCCATACACCTGGCTTTGGTGGGGACACACCTCTACTCAAACACCCTTACAGGCAGAATGGTGAAGTAAGGACCTCTGAAAGTCTGCTCCTCTATAAAAGCAACATGAACACTGGCAAACATTGTCAAAAAAAACTTTTTCAGAACTCTGAACTAACTAAAGGCCTGCAACACTCCAAGGAGTGTTTATTCAAGAAAAATGGCTCAATACTGTGAGAACTACCAAGGTTTGTGGCATTTTAAATATACCCTATTCCCATTACCCTCTCCCCAGTTCCCTGGTAGTGTTGAAAGCCAACACTTGCAACTGTGAAATCCAACAGCCTCATAGATGCTGGAGGGGGGAAGAATGGGTTTGGAGTGCCCAGGAGCCCCATCTTCAGAGAAATGACATTACTTCACTTGTCTCACAGTTCTGTGAAAAGTTCCATTCTCAGGCTTTGTTTTGATTTTACTTGACTCAGATTGATAAGAACTATATCCTTAGAACATCTGTTGGAAACAATCAGTGGCAAGTGTTTAACATGGCAGTCACCAAAGAAGCAGTACTGGCTCTGGCCAATGAAAAAATAAGAGCAAAATCTAGGGAATGAGATGTTAATAGGGATCTCTGAAAAGTTCTAAGGCATTTCTGGAAATCTAGCAGTCTACACACATGTGCAAAGCTATGTGCATGCCCAGAAAAAACTTGAGAAGGTCCTAGTCTCTTACCTCTAGCTGATCTTGCTGCTCTGTGCATGCAGAAAGTGAAAGTTAAGGCACAGTTGTAAACTGACTCTTGGAGCATTGAAAGCATGGCTCAATATACACAGAACCCCTCAGCAAAGACTTAATGAAATCTCTGTCCAGTTGTTAGCTGAGCTGACCACTAATGTTAACTGAGATGCACATGACAATAATATAGACTTTACAAAAACCAAGAAAGTCATCAAAGAGGAATGACAACAACAAACAGCAACAATAAACTATGGGGGCGACTAGTCTAGGAGAATGTCTTTGTCAAGGCATTCAGATTGGAAGTGAAGAATCAGAACTACCTCTATTCACAGATGACATGATCTCCTATGCAGTAAATCCTAAAATGCACATGAAGAAAATAACTACTAGAACTAATGAATATGCTCAGCAAAGCTTCAGGATTTGTGATCAATATATGAAAATCAATTTTATCTCTTTACACTAGCAATGAACAATTAGAAAACAAAAAATTAAGAAAACAATTCCATTCACAATAGCCTCAATATGAATAGAATACTTAGGAATGTATTTAACAAAACTGTAAAATTTGTATTACACGAAAGTTACAAGACACTTTTGAAAGAAATCAAAGAAGTCCTAAATAAATGAAAAGACATCTCATGCTAATGGACTGGAAGACTTAAATTGTTAAGACAGTAATGTAGCCCAAAGTACGGATCAAACAGATTTGATGCGATCCCTATCAAAATTGCTATGGCCTTCTTTTTTTTTTTTTTTTTTGCAGAAACAAAGAAGTCAATCCTAAAATTTAAGTGTCCTAAAATTCATATGTAAGTGCAAGGGACCCAGAATAGCCAAGACAATCTTGAAAAACAATAACAAGGTTGGAGGACTCACACTTCCCAATTTTAAAACTGATTATAAAGCTTCAATAATCAAGAAAGTGTGGTACTGGCAGAAGGATAGACAAATAGATTAACGAACTATAATTGACAGTTCAGAAATAAAAACTTACATTTATGGGCAATTCATTTTCAACAAGGGTGCCAACACAAATAAATGAAAAAAAGATTTTTTTTCAACAAATTGTTGGGACAACTGGATATCCACATGTAAAAGAATTAATTTGGACCTCTCCCTCACACCGTATTAAAAAATCAACTCAAATGGATCATAGTCCTAAATTTAAGAGCTAAAACCATAAAACTACTAGAAGAAAACATAGTAGTAAATCTTTATCTTATATTAGGCAATGGTTTCATAGATAAGACACTAACAACACAAGCAACAGAAGGAAAAAATCAATAAACTGAATTTCTCAAAATTAAAAACCTTGTGCTTCATAGAACATCATCAAGTAAAAAGAAAAGCAGAATAGGAGGAAATATTATCAAATCACTTATCTTATAAGGGACCGATTTCCTGAATATGTAAAGAACTCTTACAGCTCAAAAATAAAGAGACAAAGGCAAAGGATTTTAATAGAAATTTATCCAAAGGCAAAATTTATCCAAATTTATCCAAAGGCAAAAAAATAGGCAAAGGATTTTAATAGAAATTTATCCAAAGAAGATACACGAATGGTCAATAAGCACATGAAAAGATGCTCAACATCATTAGTCATTAGGGAAATACAAATCAAAACCATAATAAGATACCACTTTATACCCAGTAGGATAGCTTACATAAAAAGACAGATAATAACAAGTGTTGAAGAGAATGTGGAGAAACTGAAACTCTCATACATTGCTGGTGGGACAGTAAAATGGTGCACCTACTTTGAAAAACTGTTTGGCAGTTCCCAGAAATGTTAAGAATAAATACAGCTCTAGAACTGGACATATACTCAAGAGAAATGAAACTATATGTCTACACAACAACTTGTACACAAATGTTCATAGCAGCATTATTCATAAAAGCCAATGGAAACAACCCAAATGTCAATGAATGAAAAGATGAACAAAATGTGGTATATCCATACAAAGAATATTATTAAGTCCCCAAAAAACAATGAAGTATGGATACATGATAAAACATGAATGAGCCTTGAAAACATCATGCTAAGTAAAAGTCATCAAACACAAAAGGCCACATATTGTATGATTTGATTCATATAAAATGTGCAGAAGAGGCAAAACCATAGAGACAAAAAATAGGTTAGTGGTTGCCAGGAGGTGTAATTGCTAATGGCTACAGAGTTTTCGTGGCGGGGATAATAAAAATATTGTGAAATTAAATCATGGTGATGGCTGCACAACTATGTGAATATTCTAAAAATCATGACTTTTACACTATAAAAGGGTGAATTTTATGATCTGTGAATCATGTCTCAATAGTTATGAAAAATTACTTACAGGATCCCTATTTCAGAATAATACAATCTTAGAAAGAATCTCAAAGATAATTTAATCCAGTGGTTTTCAAAAAGTTGTAGTAAAAGTACCCTTTTGGCTGGGTGTGGTGGCTCACACCTGTAATCCTAGCAGGAGCTGGAGACCAGCCTGGGCAACATGGCAAAACCCCATCTCCACTAAAAATCAAAAAAAAAAAAAAAAAAAAAAGAAAAAAGAAAATTAGCCAGGCCTGGTGGTACACGCATGTAGTCCCAGTTACTTGAGAGGCTGAGGCACGAGAATTGCTTGAACCTGGGAGGTGGAGGTTACAGTGAACTGAGATTACACCACCGCACTCCAGCCTAGGTGACAGAGCAAGACTCTGTCTCAAAAAAAAAAAAAATAAAAGTACTCTTTAAAAAAATAAAATCTTATTCCACGTTCAAATACATGAAACAGGTAAGTATAGCATTGTATTAGTACATTTATTACTGAGCTCAAATTATAACAGGCTATTTCAATAAAAAATGAAATTTGATATTTAGGTTTGTTGGTAACAGTTTAGTCATATATTAACTTTGCATCCAGTGTTTGTGTTTTATTTTATGTATAAAATCAATAAAGAGCTGATAAGTTGTGAATTACCTTGTCTTGCAATGTCAGAATATTAATTCATTGAACTGACCAAGAAAATTGAAAGATAAAGTTAGGGAACATTACAGAAACTTTTTAAGTTAAACCATTACTATAATGATTGCTTATATTTTAAAGAAAACTACCCTGATTTTATGCAAATAATTAAAACTACCTGATTTTTTAAATATAGAAAAAGCAGTGACTGTGATGTATGAATTTAGTATTAATAGAATTTTTTTGGCAGACATATATAGGACTAAATTAAACAATATATAGCAATTAAACAATATATCAACACCAACCTATAGCTATTCCCAAGTCACAATTACAAGAATTTCAAATATATAGAGAGATATGGGAGAAGTGGCTTTATTAGTAAATCTATAGAAGACAAAAAAGTAGATAGTGAGTGATATGGTTTGGCTGTGTCCCCACCCAAATCTCATTTTGAACTGTAGCTCCCATAATCCCCACATGTCATGGGAGGGAACTGGTGCGAGGTAATTGAATCATGGGGGTGGGTTTTTCCTGTGCTGTTCTCTTGATAGTAAATAAGTCTCATGAGATCTGATGGTTTTATAAAGGGCAGTTCCCCTGCACAGGCTCTCTTGCCTGTCGCCATGTAAGATGTGACTTTGCTCCTCATTTGCCTCCACCATGGTTGTGAGACTTCCCCAGTCATGTGGAACTATGAGTCCATTAAACCCTTTTTCTTTATAAATTACCCAGCCTCAGTATGTCTTTATTGGCAGTGTTGAGAATGGACTAATACAGTGAGTTAACATGTAAACAATTTCCAATAGATTAAAATTTAGTACACAGCATGTGTTTATGTTGATTTTTTTTTATTTACCATTTTAAATTATAATTAAAAAAAGAGGCTGGGCGCAGTGGCTCACGCCTGTAATCCCAGCACTTTGGGAGGCTGAGGCGGGTGGATCACGAAGTCAGGAGTTTGAGACCAGCTTGACCAACATGGTGAAACCCCGTCTCTACTAAAAATACAAAAATTAGCTGGGCGTGGTGGCGCATGCCTGTAATTCCATCTACTCAGGAAGCTGAGGCAGGAGAATCACTTGAACCCAGGAGGCGGAGGTTGCAGTGAGGTGAGATTGCGCCACCGCACTCCAGCCTGGGTAACAAGAGCAAAACTCCATTTCAAAAAAAAAAAAAAAAGAAATTTGAAGCAAACATTTCCAGAATCCCAGAGCATTTCTGGAGAACATGGTTCAAATCAACCTACTCTACCTATTTACCTTAGAAATGAAAAAAAAAAATAAGGCCTGGAGAGGTTAATTAAATATCTTTCTGAAAGTTTTAACATATCTAGTTGTTCTGGAGAAAATGGACTAGGACTTAGGATTCTGGACTCTTAATTCGAATGGTCTTTTTACTAAGAAGTCTAAATCCCTTATTCTGTTTTTGAGGATCTTTATAATCTGGCTTCATCCTCATATTCACTTTCATTATTTTTCCCTCTATAATTCACAAGAGTAGTGAGGTCCCCACATTTCTACCAAGGAAGAGTGCCAGTGGGATGGTGATGATTTTTGGTGGGGGTATGGTAACTGCCCATCAAGAATGTGAGCATAGGAGGTGAAGGAGGCTGTGTCCTACGAGTTTACCTTTCAAATCTGGGGCCCACACCTGCCTCCTCTTCAGAGTTCCCGATATTGTTTGGGCCTTCAGAGGGGATTGATACAAATTACAAAATTGGGTAAGTCCCTTCAAATCTGCCCAAACACTGACAGAAATTCATTTGTATAAAATTTTCAAGCATATGTTACCAGGATCCATGAGGCACTCCTGCAGATTGTGGTTCAGTCTGAAGCTCCTGCCATCTGACTGTACCATCTTCTCCCTCTCAGCAATGTTTCAACTGCTAATCATCTAGTGAGGCCTGCTCCTTTAGTGAAGAATTCCACCTGGCTCACAGATTCCCCTGTACCCTAACATCTCTCTGACTTAATGTGACTTAAGGTGAATTAAATTTCCACATGAATGATCCTTCTAACAGTCTGCACACTAAGTTATTTGATTTTCTCATCTCTAATGACTTCTCCCTCCCAGTCTCACTATTATTTATTGGGCCTCGGCACCACCAGAGGCTACGGTGAGGTCTTCGCCAAAGTTACTAAGTAAAACAGGTGCTAACTACACCTCTTTTTTCTAACATAATTTGCCCACTCAACTGCTCTCATAACACCATGCTTTGACTGGACCTTCAGTGCTTGACACTATACTTTTTGTTCATCAGCCCCTTCTTGTCCTTACTTCTTCCTCTATCAAGCTGGCATTCCAAGCTGCCAAAACGCTAACCTTGGAAGAACCAATTAACTCCTTGATTGTACTAGGAAAAGCATCACACAATGGGATGAATTGGAACTTTGGCCATCATCTGGCTATACTTACAATCTAGTTATACTTCTCGGGTAAATTTATTTTTCCATTTCCCCAATTATTATAAATCTTCCATTTTCTAAAATCAGCTGACCCAGTTCCATTCTCCTAAAATCACTGACCCCGTTCCCTTTCTCCTTACTCATTCCTGCCTCCTGCTTCTCTCTCTCTCACATACACATGCACGCATACACACACACCTCTCAATATGTGGAAACTTCCTCAACTTCCTGTGAAAATATCTACAAACTTTCTGACATCTGGATTCTCTCCTTCTTTCTTACCATTGTAAGAGGAGGCATCCCTTGTATTTCAGACCAATTTCTCCACCTGCTGTCTGGATCCTATTTTCTACAGGCTTCTTGTCTCACATCCTAAATATCAGGCTTCAGTGAATTTGTCTCAGCCATATTTAAATATGCTTAAGTCTCACTCATAGTTTAAAAATTCATTTTGAATCCCAAACTACCTATGGCCAAGGAAAGAAGTGCTGGAAGGAATCAAGCAGAACAATCCCCACAACTCACATAGGCCTGAGAATAATTCACATTCTGAACAAAGTGTAGAAAACATAATATATGGGGCACTGAGTTGAGTACTTAGAAGGAAATTGCCTGAGTAGTGGGGTCAAATTAGCCCTAGAATAAACAATGTCTAGTTTTCTATAGCAAAACTTAAAAGCAAGCCTCAAAAGGATCAAAATGTTTTCAAGTTGCCTGATTGCATCCAAGAACAAAGCTCAAAAGTAAGAGAAAACAAAATAATTTAGCACCCAACAATGTATAATCCACAATATCTGGGATCCATTAAAAATTATCAAGCATGAAAAGAAGAAGGAAAATAAAACCCATATTAAGGAAAAAAAGTCAATTGATAAAAACTGATCCAGAAACTAAACAGATGATAGAATTTGTAGACATGGACCTTAAAACAGCGATTATAAATATGTCCCATGGTTCAAGACAATAGAAGAAAACATGGGCTTGTTAAGAAGAGACACAGACTATATAAAATAGACCAAAATTTAACTTATAGAGGCTGAAAAATCTATCTGAGATGAGAAATACACTGGACTGGATTACCAACATAGACATTGCACAGGACAAGATCAATGAACCCAAAGATACAGCAATAGAAGGTCTAAAATCAAACCACAGAGGAAAAAAAAGACAGGGAAGCCAGGTGCGGTGGCTCATGCCTGTAATCCCAGCATCTTGGGAGGGTGAGGCCAGTGGATCACTTGAGGCCAGGAATTTGAGACCAAACTGGCCAACATGGCAAAACCCTGTCTCTACTAAAAATACAAAAAATTAGCCAGGTGTGGTGGTGCATGCTTGTAATCCTAGGTACTCGGGAGGCTGAGGTAGAAGAATCACTTCAACCCGGGAGGTGGAGGTTGCAATGAGCTGAGATTGTGCCACTGTATTCCAGCCTGGGTGACAGAGTGAGACTCTGTTTTTGAAAAAAAAAAAGACAGGGAAAAAAATTAAGAACACAAAAATTAAGAACACAGCATCGGTGAGTTGGGACAACTTCAAAGGGTCTCATATATATGTATCAGAGTTTCAGAAAGGGGTTATGTGGCCAGAATTAATATTTGAAGAAGTACTGGCAAAAGGTTCCCTTTAATTAAAACTACAAATCCAAACCTTTGAGAAACTCAATGAACCCAGATCGACAGGATGAGATTTGTATGATGAGGTTATGGCTCCTAGCTTTATCAACAGTTTTACAGTGGTACTGTAAAATGATTTAGGAAATGGAGGAGGAGGAAAAGCATGTTTAGGGGTAGGGGCAGAAAGGAGTTCATTATTGTATATGGTGAGTTTAAGGACAAAAGTATGAAGCTTTAAAGGTATACTGTATGTGAAAACACTCTGTAAACAGTTGAAGTGTTTTACAAATGATTTAAGTATGTGTTCAACTAAGGCAAGAAACTCAGGGCTCTATTTCATTAATACTAATGATGATGCTAAGCTTAAAACTGTAAAACTTAGATACAGATGTTCAAATAAATAAGAGTAATGCATAGTTAAGAGCAAGATAATCAAAACAGGGTGTGGTGGCTCACACCTGTAATCCCAGCACTTTGGGAGGCTGAAGCGGGTGGATTGCTTGAGCCCAGGAGTTCAAGATGAGCCCTGGCAACATAGTGAGACTCCTGTCTCTACAAAAAAAATTTTAAAAATTAGCCAGGTGTGGTGGCATGCACCTGTGGTCTCAGCTACTCAGGAGGCTGAGGTGGGAGGATCGCTTGAGCCTGGGAGGTTGAGGCTGCAGTGAGCCACGATTGCACCACTGCCTTCCAGCCTGGGTGACAGAGCAAGACCTTGTCTCCAGCCTGGGTGACAGAATGAGACTGCATCTCAAAAATAAATAAATAAATAAATAAAAATCAACAACAACAAAACCTAACCAATCAAATTGTAACTATGTGCCAACCCTTACATGAATAATGTTGTAATCCTGCCAAAAGCTCCTCTGTCTCTGCCTATACAAATGAAACTTTAGCTTCCCTACTTTGGAATGCCAACTCCATTCCTATGGAGTTGGTGTTTCTGAGTGGTCCATCCCCACACTTTACACTTGAATAAGCTCTCCAAAAAAAAAAAAAAAAGAGTAAATAAGATAATCAGCTGTGACTAAGACATCTTTTGGGCTAGGTTCTCAAAAATAAACAACCAGACAGTTGCCAAAAAAACATCAAAATTAGTACTCAGCTCTAGGATTCTTACAAATTTTTATTCACCTCCACCTTGCACAAGAAGCAAAAGGAATAATACTTCAGAAAGTACAGAGGTTTTGATCTTTCTGTCAGTTCACTTAGAATGGATAAGTGAATATATTAATAAAATATGGGAGGCAAGAGAAAATACTAATACACTGGACACCACTATCAGATTCACCATTACTGGCACCACTATTGACTAACTCCAGCTACTCAATCAGATTTAAGCATTTACTGGTGTCCTCTGCTATCAAATGAAATAAACCTATTTGCTATACAATATCTATTAACTCATTTCTTATTATACTTTCAGTAAATATGAAGAGCAGCATAAGAATCTGAGGACTTCTCCAGTGATAATAGCTTCTGGTATAAATTTGAGGTTGTCACAAAAGCTGCATCCATTATATTATAGGAATAATAAGTGTTGAAGAACCTATATCCCAGTGGAATACAGCAAAAGTCACTGCCTCCCAAACTGAGTCTGATTCTCCAGAGAACCTGACCTGAGGGCAACTGCTAAGATGCTTTGCTAGAAATATATGTGCACTTTCAGAAAGTTCTCCTCCTAGAAAGGGGTATAACTGCAACATTAGGACTCTAACATATGAGCATGTCTATTAATTAAAAGAAGGTACCACCTTTTGAAGTTAGTTATCCTCCAGCTGGCTTATAGAAAGGTCCTCTGACCATTGTGGGAAAATAAAAAGATCAGAGTAAGATATAATAAATTCAGAGAATGGTGTACAGATTTACAAAAGCTCCTAGACAGTCAAAGTGTGGAAATGAAGTCAGGTTTTACAGGGCTTTAGAAAAAAAATCTCAGAAACAAGTAAGAGGTATAGTTAGATCTGTAACAGTGGGGAAGATTCACAATGGTCGGATTTAAGGCAGCTACGCTAGAATCCAGAAGAGAGGCTAGGGACTTGTCAGTACCATGGACAGTTCCACCACTCAGTTTCTCTGTCTTTAATCTCAGAAGGCCAAAAATTATATCTAGTTGCAATACTCTGAAGATTATACTTGGTGGCCATTTCATAGACATCTGGAAAAGGGAAATATCTGAATTATCTGAGACATAAAGTATGGCCACATGTGCGTAATGGTCAATATAAGTTAGTGGCTACACACACACACACACACACACACACACACACACACAATATATAAAATCATCATCATCTTAGACTTTATAGAGGGACTGTCGAGGGGTCATTAACTTACAAAACCAATTAAGGGTGATGAAATAATCTGTACAATAAACCCCTATGACACAAGTTTACCTATACAACAAACCTGCACATGTACCCCTGAGCTTAAAATAAAAGTTAAAAAAAATCAATTATGTCCAAGCAGGGTGAGGAGGGTGTCCTCACAGAGGAGTGGCACGTGGCACACCAGCAGGGTGAACAGGATGTCCATGCCAGGATGGGAAGAAAGATATGAAGAGGTGGACTTGGCGTGGGGAGAGAGCCCAGATGGGCAGCCTGGTGGTGGCCATCAGATCCTGAGCAGAATAAGGAGAACATTTCCACAGAGGGATGGCCTTGCCTGGGGTGTAGAGCCTTGGTGGGGTAAAGAAGACATTTCATTGAGGGCAACACATAGTAACACAGAATGGGCTGCCAGAACCTTCTGCAGGGTGAGAAGGGCACCCATTCAGAGGGGTGAGCCAGTTCAGGTATCAGGTTCCAAGTAGAGTAAGGAGAGTGTTTCCGTAGAAGAGTGGTCTAGTGTGGGATGTCAGAGCCCAAGGCTGGTGTCCTGCATCAGGGCCAGCCTGGTATGAGGCTTCAAAACCTTTGCAGGGTGAGGAGAGCTTTTACTTGGTGTCAGAGGCCAAATACAATGAGGACTTCATGCAGGAGGAGAAAATAAACACAGGGAGTTAGAACCTGAGTTTGGGAATGAATATGTTTATATGGAAGAAGGGATGGCTGCAACAGAACACTGGCTACATTCAAAGAGACTGATCAAATGAGTTAATACATTAAGGATAACAGAAGCCATGCTTTTCACTATGGAAAAAGGTAGCTACACATATAAAAAGGGAGAAAATTAGTATGAATCCTGTGGTGCTGAATTAAAATTGGTAGTCTCAATGTGAATGCATGGCTTTCAATATATAGGTATAGAAATAAATATAAATGTAAATATGTATATGTACATATACATATATATATAAATAATGATAAAAAATAGAAGGATAATTTTCCATAAGTCTTGCCTCTACGAAAAAGTGGCATAAGGCATGAAAGATATTTAGTATAGTATATACCATTCTACTGTGCAATTAAGACTTTAACAATTTACATTTTCTTTCATATTTTATAACAAGTTCTACATATATTAATAAGACTATTCATATAAAAGGGAGAAAATTTTTTAAAATTACTCATGCAAGACGTTCAGAGGGACAAAATGGATTATGAAAACAACTTGTCAATTCCAACTAAAAGGAAATCAAATTAAACTATCCTTAAGAAAGAAGTGGCTAAAAGGTGACAGTCACAGCGGTGATGGTAGTAGAAACAACAGTGATGATGATAATATTAACACAACTATTATTTACTGACTGTTTACTAAGTCCCAGGAACTGTGCTAACCACTTCATATGAATTAAAATCTTAAACACATTCTCACTAAGGAATTAGGACAATGATGATTTCAGTTTAAATTTATGAATACCGTGAGTTTCAAATTTCCTTTCTTAAACGTTAAAGTGGTCATAACAATTCTCTTATGCCACAAAACAGACTGTTTGAAGATTATTTCTGATTCAAATTTCAAATGTTATGAATAAGTTACCGACAAATATAATGGCAAAATATGATTTATATGTTCATTAAAATAGGAATACAGAAGTATATTTCTGAGACCAACTTCATCGTGAATTCTCTAGCTACCTGAGTTATTACATATGATGTTATTACTGTTGTTTCTGTATATATCCTCATAGAGTATTAAAAGCATTTCTCAGGAAATGGAAAGTTAATGGCTATAGAAATAGCAATGGTTTCTATTTCACTTTATCACGATGTGTTATTTTGGAACAAATCTTTTAATGTCATTTTCATTCCTTCTGTCATTTTACACTGTGAAGTTCAGGACAGTCCAGGTGGGACTATACACCGTAAAAATGGCCTTGTGGATAATTAATGGGCCACTTGGCATATTTTCCAAATCAGTATTCCTAAATGACCAGTGAAGCCCAGGAAATGATGAATTTGTCAGTTTCTTAAAAATTTAGTTCTAATATCTTCAATGCCACAATAAACTTTGTTTAAATAAACTGAATCCAAAGAAAAATGTAATCTATAATACTCTAGGTTACATACAATGAACACTGGAAAAAAAACCATTTTTTTTCTCATGGTCATAATGACTTTAATCCATCTTAAAATGTTTTTTGTTTTTTTCTGCTCTCAAAATGTACTAAGCTTCTAATGAATCAAGGAGAGAAATAATTTTAATATTTTACAGTATATATGAAATGTAAAATTTTGAAAGAAGCCAAGGGCAATGAAATGGTTAACATTTAATAGTGTGTATAAGTACTTCTTTCCATTCGTTTAGCTGGTTGCAGTTTGAGCAGTTTTGGAAAAAACAGTTTTATAATAGTTTTCTGAATGATATGGTTTGTTTCATGTTAAGTCTATGGTCAGACCCGACAGATATTTCAGAACTCAACAGTGACTCATTGCAGTCCTGGGGCTATCCAGAAAATGACAGTGAAGAAGAAGATATGAAAGTAAGATAGATTCTGTGGGGCAATGACAATTGATGCAGTTTTGATATTAGAGGCTCTTGTAGAGCTTTTACAAGATACAGATACTCAGGCCCCACAAATCAACAGGTCTAAGTGGGAGCCTGAGCATCTTTACTTTGAAGACTCTCCAACTCATTCTAGTGTAATTAAGATTGAGAATCACCGTTTTCAGGGCTTACTTAGCTCATAGCCAATTAAGCATATTAGAAAGACACTGATTGTGTGAAATAGACCTCAAGTTTCCTAAAGGCAATGTGCAGAAAATTCTGCCTAATTCTGATGCAGCATCAAACTGATTAAAATAGGATTTCATGTATATTATGTCCAATCACTAAAGGTTTAGTGAACATTATTATCAAGAAAGTTTAAATAAATATTACAGTAGACATTAGCTGGTTATGTCCCTAGCATCCATTCATCACTTCCTTTTAGTGGTGGTACCATGAACTTAACTCCTTTCTAACTTTCATCTAATGTGATTTGGAAGGTGACCGACCAACCAGCAGCTCCAGGGCATAAGCTAATCAGTGCGTCCCATCCCTGTAGCCACTGTGATTGGTTCTGGAATGGGCACACAACTCAGTGAGACACAAGGAGTTTCAAGACGGCCATTATGTGAAACCTGATTATGCAGCTGATGCATGGAAGGCAGGGTCGGGGAAGAGAGTAGAAAGAGAAACCAGCACCTTGGTAATATTACTTCTGTCATGCCTGAAGAAAGGCCTACTCTCTAGGTCTTTATTATTGCTTAAACCATTTTGAGTTGGTGTGCATTCACTTGAAACTGACAGAATCTTAACTGATGCAAATAATTATTCAGTGTAATCTCTGGCTTTTTATATGATTAAATGATGGTAGGGGATTTCTAAAAAGGAAACTTTTCTTAATATTTTTACTATAATTTCATTTGTACTTCTTTATAATTCTACTCCTGAAGCTATTTTTTTGGATACCTAAGGAACATACATTGCTAAATATTTGAAAAGGAAAACAAAGGCAGTAAAAGATGGAAAAATCTGATGAAACACAAAAAAACAGACCAAAATATGTCCTCAGAACTTATTCCAAAATATATACTTCAACTCACTCATATCCACAATGTTCTTCGGGAAAACAATTTATGTATCAGTGGTTCTGATATTTTAGTGTATGCTACTATCACTTGGGCAATTTGTTTAAAATAGATTCCTAGGCTGCTTTCCAGTGATTCTGATTTAGTGGATCTAGTGTTGAGTCCCCGAAATAGACACTGTTCGTATTCCATAAGATTCTGATGCAAATGATTGGTAGAGCTTACTCAGAAATTCTGTAGGACATAAGAGGGTAGTGGATCTGTTTCAGAACAAACACTTCAGCTACTAATTTTGCATTTTAAATATTGATTTTTAAAGAGTGGCATTTCTAATGTAATATAAAAGTGAAAAATATTTTCCAAAGGTAAACAAGTCTAAGTTCTTATTAAAAGAAGATGAAAGGAAAAATAAATATTGTATATGAGTTGCAAACTTTTGTTTGCATTTACAATATAAGATAGCTGTTTACTAGTGAAGAGCTACATATATACATCTACTTTTTTTTTTTTTTGAGACAGGGTCTCGCTCTGTCACCCAGACTAGAGTACAATGGTGTGACCATGGCTCACTGCAGCCTCAATCTCCCAGCCTCAAGCAATCCTCCCACCTCAGCCTCCCAAGTAGCTGGGACCACAGGCATGTGTCACCATGCCCAACTAATTTTTTAAAACATTTTTTGTAGAGACTGGGTCTCCCTGTGTTGTCCAGGTTGGTCTCGAACTTCTGACCTCAAGCGATCGTCCTGCCTCAGCCTTCCAAAGTGCTGGGATTACAGGCGTGAGCCACCATACCTGGCCTTAAAAATCTACCTTGAAAATAATTAATAGTCATAGATCTAATCATCCTATTTTATTTTACTGAGATGGATTTTCTCTTTTTGCCCAGGCTGGAGTGCAATGGCGCGATATTGGGCACAATCTGCAACCTCCGCCTCCCAGGTTCAAGCAATTCTCCTGCCTCAGCCTCCCGAGTAGCTGGGACTACAGGCGCCCGCCCCCATGCCCAGCTAATTTTTGGTATTTTTAGTAGAGACGAGGTTTCACCATGTTGGCCAGGCTGGTCACGAACTACTGACCTCAGGTGATCCACCCACCTCGACCTCCCAAAGTGCTGGGATTACAGGAGTGAGCCACTGTGCCCTGCCCTGATCATCCAATTTTAAAAATAAAATATTATATACTTGGAAAGAGAGGAGAAACTTAAAGGAGAAATTATTCATTTTAGGTACATTCATCCAAAAGGATAGTTTCATATTAAAGCATGAATTTGAAGACCGCTACCAAAATTCCTGGTTGTAAGTCACAGTGAACACTGTTGTTTGCCTGCTCAACAGCCACTGCCAACCTCTTCATTTCTTGTTGGAAGGGCTCTCCTCCTACTTTGGAGACTAAAAATGCCAGCACTTGCATTTCTAGTCTTTCTGGCAGATGCCATGGGTATATGACCAAATCCTAGCCAATGGAATCTAAGAGGAAGTTTGCTGAGGGCATCTGCTGTAGCCACCACCAACACAGCCATACTTACACTGTCACCTCCCCCGCCAAAGTCCTCAATAGAGGGTCTCCTTAGCAACTCCCTGAGGATCTCCACTTATAGATTGCTCAAGCCACTGCCCTGGGAGTGAGGGTAAGAATGGGAAATATGTCTACCTCATTATCCAATGAAAATAAAGTCTAAGTGGTACTTACGTTCTCCTAGAATCTTTAGTGCTTTTATAATACTCAGCTTTAGTTCAAACTTCTACATGCTGACTTGCAAATGAACTTTTAACTTATAAATGAGTATGGGACCACAATACATTCATTAGGTAGGGACTACCTGTGAAAGCACATTTTACCATTTTTCCTATTTTAAATATCCAAGCCCCTGCCCACTCAACAGCCATAGAACCCCATCCACTAAGGAACATAACATTATCAAAAGCCTCTACTTCTTTCTCTATATGTCACTCACACAATTTAGTAAACTGTTAAATTGATCAGAGCTATGAAATTTTAAGTGAGTTAACATATTTCATGATACATCCTAGGGTACAGAACCATAAAAGATTCAGAGGAAAATGGTGAGAAACATCCAAAAGGACCAAAATTTAAAAAGAAATGGCAAGGATCCACAAAGAGAGAATTCAGCACTTTTTCATAAAATTATTTTGGTCATAATATATTTTCAGCAGCATACCAGTACCGATGATGAAAAGAGTACTTTTAGTTCTCATTTCTGGATCTACTTTACGTTGTATTTTTGTCCTAAAAATCACAATCTTGACATTTTAGGGTTTCTGAAAGATTTTCACATCTAATAAAAAACAAATTACATGGGAATAAAAACATGTTCATACTTTAAACTTGGTTCTATCAACAATCCCAGACAAATTTAACCCCCTTTCAGGTCAAATTTAGTGTTACAAAGATATAATGATAAAGTATAGAATAGCTGAAAGAACAGACTGTGGAGACAGATGAATTTAAATCCTCACTCTGCCTCTTCTTAAGCATGTGACTTTGGGCAATTCAGTTAACCTTTCTATGCATTTTTTTTTTTTTGGCCATAAATTAAGGATAATAGTACCTATCTCAGGGGTAAACGTGTTAATATATATCATGCTTAAAATTGCACCCAGTACACGGAAGCACTTTTCAAGCTGAAGAAAGTAAGTGGATGTTGCCTTTCTGTTTTTTTTTTTCTTGAGACGGAGTCTCACTCTGTCGCCAGGCTGGAGTGCACTGGGGTGATCTCAGCTCACAGTGGCCTCTGACTCCTTGGTTCAAGCAATTCTCCTGTATCAGGCTCCCGCATAGCTGGAATTACAGGCGTGCACCACCACACACAGTGAATTTTTGTATTTTTAGTAGAGATGGGGTTTCACCATGTTGGCCAGGATGATCTCGATCTCCTGACCTCCTGAGCTGCCCTCCTCGGCCTCCCAAAGTGCTGGGATTACAGGCATGGGCCACCGTGCCTGGCTGGACGTTGCCTTTCTTTACCTCTTTCCACTAATGTAATTATTCTTAGACATTATATGTTAAGAAACCATTTTAACTAGAATCAAACCCTGGTTATGACTGGCAGTGTTTTAGTATAGCATGGACTGCCTAGATATAATTTTAAAATCTGAAAACCTCTTATTCTATCATTAATACTAAACTTCTGTGAACTACATCAGTCAGGAATCAGTGAAGGAAAACGAAATCACTTTGGGTATTTTAAGAAAGAGATTTAATTCAGAAAATTAGGTGCTTACAAAATTGTTAGAAGAGCTGGAGTAGCAAGGTTTAGGCTAGTTCTGCAGAAATGACTCCTAGAACACTGAAAAGCTGATCCCCCAAAGGAGCTACTAAGTAGTGGGAAGGCAGGAAGATATGACTTAAAAAACATACTATCTTAGTTTGATCAAGAGATCAGAAAGTCTTCACGGCCATTGCAATTACCTCTTAGTGCACATGAAGCGGTAAACTAGCTACTATACACCATGGAATACCATAGCCCTAAAAAAGAATGAAATCATATCCTTTGCAGCAACACCAATGCAGCTGGAGGCCATTACCCTAAGTGAATTAGCGCAGAAACAGAAAATCAAATCCATATGTTCTCACTTGTAAGTGGGAACTAAATAATGGGTACACATAAAGATGGAAACAACAGACTCCGGGAATTTCAAAAGGGGGGAGGGTGGGATGGGGGTAAGGATTGAGAAACTACTCATTGGGTACTATGCTCACTACTTGGGTGATGGGTTCAATAGAAGCTCAAACTCCAGCATTATGCAGTATATCCTTGTAACAAACATGGACACCTACCCCCTGAATCTAAAAAAAAAAAGAAAAAGAATGTTACTGGAGGAGGAAAAACATCTTTCGTTTGAACTTGCCTGCCTGAAGCAGTAAGAAAATGGCCTCTGCCTTCACTTTAACTTCGCAAATCATGCACAAATGTGTTTAATTGTTGGAACCTGACTAGCATCCAGAATGCTACAGAATCTCAAACATATTTCTCTTGAAGTACAGGAAAAAAAAAAACCACACAAAAAAAACTAGAAAGGGCTGGGAATATTTGTAGTTTGCCAAGCAATCAAATGTAACACAGTGACTTTGGGATAGTCAAAGTCATAAAATTACAGTTTTGTCATCTGTAAAATGGGGATTAAATAATGACACCTACCCATAATAGTGTTGTGTTTAGAATTTAAGGAGATTATACATCGAAACACTTCATATAGTGAAAATCAAGTTTCTTTACCATTTTGAAGCCTTAGCTTAACTGTCTTGTTGCATCTAGCTTTACAGTTGAAAAGTTTGATGCCCTTCTGATCTTTCTAATTTTTATGTCATCAGGGGGTCTTTCCGGATTTTCTTTTACCCCTGGTGTTCTAAAATTTCACAATGATGTGTCTAGGTCTGGATTTTTTCATTTATTGTTCAGATCCTTTATTTGGAGACAAGCTCTTCAGCTTTGGCACATTGCCTTGTATTTTTAATACAACTTCCTCCCCTCTGTTTTCTTTCTTTATGAATCACCTGTTAGTCATATGTTAAATCCTCCTGGATTGTCTAATCTCTAATCCTTTTTTAAATCTTTCCATCTGTTTCTTTTCCACTCTATTTTCCTTTTATATTTCCTGGAGTTATTTATTTATTTTTTTTTTTCATTTCTGTCTTCTAATTAATGGGTTAGCAAACTTTTTCTGTAAAGGGCCAGATAGTAAATTTTTTGGTTTCATGAGCATATGATCTCTGTCATAACTACTCACTCTGCTGTTGTAGCATGAAAGCAGCCATAGACAATATGAAAACAAATAGGCAGTGCTGGGTTCCAGTATACCTTTCTTTACAAAAACAGGTGGAAGGCCATAGTTTGCCAATCCTCGTACTGACCCTTCTACTATTTGCTTTGTTTTGGTGATCATACTTGTAATTTACAAGAGACCCTTTTTTCTATGACTGTTCCTTTTTCTGAGCATTTTTTCTCTTTTAAAAAAATTTGTCTTCTCACATCTTTCTGAAAACACTAATTAAAATTAGTTTTTAGTTTTCTTGTCATCTTTCCATTATGGACCCTTTCTGTTGCATAATTTTATTTTCTGTTTATCCTGGATTTTCTCTTTCCTGGTGGAGGCTTTCCCTTAGTGTCTCCTCAGCCATGATTGCCTGTTTATATTTAAGAATACATTCCCCAAAAAACTCTAAACGTTTAAATGCAACTTGTTCACTGACAGGCATAAACATGATTAGATGGAGATAAGGCAATTTCCCTGGGGACTCTTAAATGTCAGTATGGGGCAATCTTTGCTTGGAATCTTGAGATTTTCCAGAGAAGAAACTTATGCTATTTACTGCCCAAGGGCTAGACACAAGCCTGACACTATTCTTCATGTTGGATGGAAATACAACTATACATCTCACAGGCTTTTAGTGATTATCTTGTTTTTAATCCCCAGATTCATGCTACCCCATGCTGTACCTGGTAGTATTCATGGGTGTGTGATCAGATTAGTTCTCTCCTTCTGTGTGCACTTTATGCTCAGTTATCTCCATTCTTTCTAAAGAGTCAGTTACCAGCCTCCACCCACAATGTCTTCAGAAGGTGGTATGTCTCATCTGCTGATGCCCTCTTTCCAGCTATTTAGACTTCATGGGTATAAATGTGAATGTATATATATATATGTATTTATTGTTGTAAACTATGACACTATCATTTCAGTGGAGATTACAGGAAGAATAAATAATTATATGTGCCTAATCCACTATCTTTAACTGTAAAAATAAACTCTTTCTTGCATTTTCTTTTGGCAGTGCCAGTCCAGGCCAACTTGTTTAACACATACTACGACTTGTCAGATATTTAAGTATTTCACATTCAATAATATTTTTATAAATTAAACACTTGGATTCAGGAACTGTGATAACTGGACACAGTTGAGTATTTAGGAAAGGCTTTGTTATGCAAATCTATTATTTAAGTAAGATGTAAAAGAGAATGTCCCAAGAGAGCAAATTCATGTACTATAAAAGCACAAATTTATTTACAAACTACTGACTGATATGCAAATCATAAGGTGAATATACAGATTATATTAATCTTACAATTCACGGTATGGAATATTGTTTACAGTTATTCACTGACCCTCACTGTTGATCCCAGGCTTGGCCATAAGACTTGCTTTTAAGATCAGAAGTAAGCAAACTACAGGAGGCAAACTGAATGTGGCATGTGGTCTGTTTTTTTGTACAGCCAGCATGCTAAGAAAGGTTTTACATTTTTAAAAAGAATTGTAAAAAAAAAAAATGCGACAGAGACCATATGTGGAACCTAAAAAAAAAAAAATGAACTCTCTGGCACTTTACAGAAAAAGTTTGCCAACCCCTGCTTTAGACAATGAAATGTAAATGGAAGTGGCATGTGTCAATTTTGGGCAAAAGCTTTAAAAGACAAGGATTAGTTTTCTATGCTCTCTGCCATGACAACCAAGAAAGTTTCAGAAAGAACCTGCCCAATCAGTCTGGATCTTACAGTGAAGAAAACATGGAATAGAGCCATAATTGACCCACAATAAACATGTGGCATAAGTAAGAAATAAACCTTTGTTGTGGGCATTTAAAAGTTTCAGGATTTGGGCCGGGCGCGGTGGCTCACGCCTGTAATCCCAGCACTTTGGGAGGCCGAGGCGGGCGGATCACGAGGTCAGGAGATCGAGACCATCCCGGCTAAAACGGTGAAACCCCGTCTCTACTAAAAATACAAAAAAATTAGCCGGGCGTAGTGGCGGGCGCCTGTAGTCCCAGCTACTTGGGAGGCTGAGGCAGGAGAATGGCGTGAACCCGGGAGGCGGAGCTTGCAGTGAGCCGAGATCCCACCACTGCACTCCAGCCTGGGCGACAGAGCGAGACTCCGTCTCAAAAAAAAAAAAAAAAAAAAAAAAGTTTCAGGATTTGTTACTTCAGAATAGCCTGGTTTAAGCTGCTTGATATGTATCAATGTAATATGAGTTACTACGCATGCCTGAAAATAATAAAAGTGCATTTATTTAAAGAATATTTATAATTCAGTCATCTTAATAATTACTCAGAATATATTTCTTTCTTCTTTTTTTTTTTTTTGAAATGGGGTCTCGCTCTGTCGCCCAGGCTAGAGTGCAGTGGTGCGATCTTGGCTCACTGCAAGCTCTGCCTCCTGGGTTCACGCCATTCTCCTGCCTCAGCCTCCCGAGTAGCTGGGACTACAGGCGCCCGCCACCACGCCTGGCTAATTTTTTGTATTTTTAGTAGAGACAGAGTTTCACCATGTTAGCCAGGATGGTCTCAATCTCCTGACCTTGTGATCCGCCCACCTTGGCCTCCCAAAGTGCTGGGATTACAGGTGTGAGCCACCGCGCCTGGCCCTACTCAGAATATATTTCCAAAAAGTTGTATCTCAAAAACATTTGAGGCTTGAATTATATTTAGTTCCTGAAAACAGTTATTACTAGCTACTTCTGTTGTAATAACGGTACTTTTACCTTCTTCTTTTCCAGCTTGGTATGTCCCTTCTGATTTTGAAACTTGAAAAAATACAATGCAAAGATTTTTTACTTGCGGACTAGTATCTAATTAAGATTACCACAAAATTAGAACATTAAATTTATTCATACATGGATAAGATCAAATAAAAATAGCATTTAGCAAGTTCCCACTCTTTGTCAGCTGCTGTTCTAAGGACTCTACATGGACTAACTCCTTTAATCCTCACAAAAAATCTATAAGGTAGCTATTATCGTTACTATCTCTTTTTACAAATGAAGAAAATGAGGCACAGAGAGGCTGAATATTCACCCAAGGACACACAGTTGGGATGAAGTGGGATCCATGATGTGAATCCAGAGACTGCAGATGCTCCCAACTTTATACCAACCCTCAAATGCAAACATAAACTTGGTCTTGAATATCTAACAACTTTGGCACTAAAATGGCAGATTTCTCCTATCTAGTAATTCTTGAATATTTTGTGACAAATCACAAATGAGCTGGTATAAAAATTTTTCTTAACTTTAACACAGCTTAAAGGACAGTGCTAATTTTCATTTCAGGGAGAAATATACCACCGAAAGTAAACTGACTAACAAAAAAGGTACTTCTAATATGCTGCTATCCATAAAGTAAAATATATCTTATTCTCTTTAGATATGTTATAACTTTTATTATACAAATTATAGTCACATGTCAATGACACAGAAACGGTCTGAGAAATGCACTGTTTGGCAATTTTGTCATTGTGGGAACATCATAGAGTGTACTTACACAAACCTAGATGGTATAGCCTATTGCTCCTAGGCTACCAACCTGTACAGCAGGTTACCGTACTGAACACTGTAGGCAACTGTAACACAATGGTAAGTATTTGTGTATCTAAGCATATTTGAACATATAAAAGGTATAGTAGCTTCTCGGGAGGCTGATGAGCCCAGGAGGTCAAGGTTGCAGTGAATCTTGATTGTGCCACTGCACTCCAGCCTAACAGAGTGACCCTATCTCAAACAAAAAAAAAAAAAACAGCAAAAACACCAAAAAAAATTTACGGTAATAAGACCGTGTAATAATCTGGGATCACCATCAATTATGTGATCTGTTGTTGACTGAAACATTATGTGTGGTGCATGACTGTATATAATTTGATTATAATATCAGGTAATTCCAAAATATAACAAAACTATGTGCACCAAACTCAAGTTTTCAGTTTCTGTTAGTTCTGTTAGCTTTTCCTACTAGAAAAAAAAAAGTAATTTAGTACCATTCTAATCATTAGTTGCCCCAAAAGTGACTGACTATAAAAAGGACATGGTAAATAGCTAAGGTATAGCCTATAAAAACAATTCTAAGAGATATAGGAAAGAAAATAATGTATACCTTTTGTAAGATCAGAGGATATCGTTACCAAAAATGGTAGAATTACTCAAATTAAATTAAGGACACCCGTTTTATCTCAGAGACGCAACTAATATTTGTTAGTTCAAAGGTTTTCACATACTTTACCTCATTTAATCTTCACAACCTTGTGAAGTACCCAGGTAAGCTGGCACTACTATTTCAATTCTAACATGTGTACTATGGAGAATTAGCCTTTTTACCAGAACATCTTTGCATAATCAACACCTAAAAATGTGTATTTTACTCTAACAGGAGCTCCGGGAATACAAACACGTGGTACTTGCAGGAGCATGTTCATTTTCAATTATGGAAATTTACATCTATTTGCTTAAAATAAACATCAGGAAATTTATATACTGGCTCATCATGAACAATAACTTTATGACCAGAATTATTCTTTTCCCTGCATAAAATTCAACGTAACTTTCAAATAGATATCTTTCTGACTCATTATAAGTCTCTACTGAATCCACAGCACAAATGTGATTATGAGACTAGAAACCTGCTAATAAACAATTTCATTCAATTTAAAATGTTTAAAATTAAGTTCCTTTGTCCTAGGCTGCATTCAGTATTTCTTAAGTTCTACTCTATTCTAAGAACATAAATACATCAAGGATAAAAACTGCCTCTTTTCTAAATTAAATCTCAAGTTTTCTGGAGAGAAAAACATTTTTGCAATTAGTATTTCCCAGTTTTCTTTAAATTCTCACCATCTGCCTAAATGGACACTACTTTGGAAAAGTAGCATTAAATCCTGTCCACCTCAAAATAACTGTCTCAGCAGATATATCCATAATTCTTGGAAGAAATATCCTCACTACTGCTAAATTCAGAGGAAAGATTACAAGCAATGTAATTACTAGTAGTTTGCTGATAAAATATATTCTTATAAAATACATATTCATATCTATCATTAAAAATAGTATTAAACATTTTTCAAATGAAGCACCTACTATTATAAATCATCTGTCAAGATTTTGAGTACAAAAATATGAGAATTAAGGATTTTGGTTTTAAAACATATTTGCCCATTGTATACTTTATTGTTATTTTAGATTAGCATGATGGGGAAAATGATTAAAGAAAAGAATAAAACATTGCTTCTGTTTGCTATTTCTTTCATTTGTAAAGGGTAGACCTGAAGAACAACCTCACTCAATGTTACTGTTCATTTAATTATCATCCATCCACCAAATGGTAAGATAATAAACAAGAAACACAGTGGATACAACTATTATTATTATAAAACAATCAGCAGAGGCAGATGGATCACCTGAGGTCAGGAGTTCGAGACCAGCCTGGCCAACATGATGAAACATCATCTCTACTAAAAATACAAAAATATTAGCTGGGCATGGTGGCAGGTGCCTGTAATCCCAGCTACTTGGGAGGCTGAAGCAGGAGAATCACTTGAACTGGGAGGCGGAGGTTGCAGTGAGCCGAGACCACGCCATTGCACTCCAGCCTGGGTAATGAAAGCAAGACTCCATCTCAAAAAACAAAAACAAAACAAAAAACAATCAACACAAAAGGGAACTTACTCGGGAACACTGTAATGTAATAAAAATGCTTCCTTAAATATATATAATTTCATAGATGTTGATAATAATGAAGAAGGCATGTTTTCAGGATGTCCATAATCTAGATACTCCCCAAAGAAATAATTTTTGAAATAACAGTTAATATTTAGAATTTGAATGTTGTCTCCCTATGATGTTTTTATAAGAAACACTATTTTATCCCCTCTTTCTCAATTTAATAAATTTTAGAGCATACTTAACTACAGAATATGCTGCTTGCTTGGACCCATTTATGTGTTATAATCTACCATAAAATGGTCAAGTAGTATTCTCTTTCCATAAAACATTTGTTAATCTCTCTCATTAGCATTACAAACAACTAAAGTTGGTATCATGAAGAAATAAATTGCTTAAAATAAAATAGAGCAGCAAAGGAAAACAATGCCTGTGCTTTAAGCTTATTCTTTCATTGTTGAAAAACATAATACACACTTGTTGGTTGCTGACAGTGAAGGGATTAGCATTTGGATGGCTCAACAAAATGAATCCCAATTTAGGTGCTTGATGTTCTTTATTCTCTATATTAAATACTTTAAAAAGCAGTTTTACATATTGAAATTTCAGTTTTTCTCACTCAGTCTTCCTGCATGTTCAAAATTTCTTGAGACTTGACCTTTAAACCTGACTTTTTTCCTACAAAACTAAAAATCTGACTTAAACAAAAGGCTTTCTTTTATGACCTGTTTGTTTCTTCTTTTCACTAAAAGATTTATCTGATAACAATTCTTTGTGTGAGACTGCAGTTATTCCTCTCAACTAATAATATATGCTCATTTACTTTCTCTGTGAATAATTGTCTGTAAATAGGTCTATAATCATTAAGTTTTTATACTAAAGTGAGCCATGACTCATTACTGTTGTTGTCTAGGGAACTAGAACACATGTAGCTTTCTTCTTCATGTAGTAATTTTTAACTGTGATTATTAGTTTATCATGAAGTATTTATTACAAATTGTTTTACAAAGAAGAAGAGTAATCTACATTCAGAAAATGTAGATTTTTGCTGACAATGGTAGTTGTGAATTATACTGAATATGAAAACAGATGAAGCTAAGTTTTGAAAGGTATTTCCTTATAATATAAAGTATGATTCTTATAGGGACACACATCTGAATTATAGAGTATCAGCAATAATTTACCTCTTAAAAATAAAAATAACAGTATAAACATCAAACTGAAGTGATTTAATCCATTAACATAAAAGATAGGCTATTTCTGACACATAGGAATTTTAGAAATTAAAGGTTGAAATTACAACTATCTACAAGTTCATCATTGTAGTAAGTCATAAAGAGGGTAGTTCAGTCTTAAGAGTCTGTGGCATTATACTCTTGACTGAGAAGTGGCATACACACATATGTCCCTAATTAATCAATTATTATTTAAAAATAAAACAACTCCTGATGTGTTCCTATTTAAATACCCTGAGATGCATGCTTATTGCATTCCAGGTTATAAAAGATTCTTAGTAGGGGCAGGATACTGACACCTCTCAAGAAATAATATTATATTATATGAAACTGAATAAGAATTTAAGAATGATCAGATTTACTTGGACATGTTGATGAATAAATTTAATAAGTGTTCATTGAACACCTGTGTTTTAGATACTATGAAAAATACCATATGTTGATGAATAAATTTAATAAGTGTTCATTGAACACCTATGTTTTAGATACTATGAAAAATACCATATAAATAAAACAGTCTCTCTTCTCCAAGTGTTTAAAATCTAGATTAAGATATAAAACAATGAGTTCAGGATGGGCATGGTGGCTCATGCCTGTAATCCCAATACTTTGGGAGGCCAAGGGGGGCAGATCACTTGAAGTCAGGAGTTTGAGACCAGCCTGGCCAACATGGTGAAACCCCACCTCTACCAAAAATACAAAAATTAGCCGGACATGGTGGCGCATGCCTATGGTCCTGGCAACTTGGGAGGCTGAGGCAGGAAAATCACTTGAAACCAGGAACCTGGGAAGTGGAGGTTGCAGTGAGCTGAGATTGTGCCACTGCACTCCAGCGTGGAAACAGAGTGAGACTCTATCTCAAAACAAAACAAAACAAAAACAAAACAAGTTCAATAATATAAGATTAGCTGCAAAAATGAAACTACAGGCAATAAACTCAGAGATAATATACATACCCTATGAACTTATTCACCCATCCATTCATTCAACATTTATACAGCAATAATTAGTGTCAGGCCTCTGGGCCCAAGCCTGCACATATACATCCAGATGGCCTGAAGTAACTGAAGAATGACAAAAGAAGTGAAAATGGCTGGTTCCTGCCTTAACTGATGACATTACCTTGTGAAATTCCTTCTCCTGGCTCAGAAGCTCCCCCACTGAGCACCTTGTGACCCCCGCCCCTGCTCACCAGAGAACAACCCCTATTGACTATAATTTTCCACTACCCACCCAAATCCTATAAAACGGCCCACCCCTACCTCTCTTCGCTGACTCTCTTTTCGGACTCAGCCTGCCTGCACCCAGATGATTAAAAAGCTTTATTGCTCACACAAAGCCTGGTGGTCTCTTCACACAGATGCACATGAAATTTGGTGCCGTGACTCAGACTGGGAGACCTCCCTTGGGAGATCAATCCCTTGTCCTCCTGCTCTTTGCTCCATGAGAAAGATCCACCTACGACCTCGGGTCCTCAGACCAACCAGCCCAAGGAACATCTCACCAATTTTAAATCGGGTAAGTGGCCTCTTTTTACTCTCTTCTCCAACCTCTCTCACTATCCCTCAACCTCTTTCTCCTTTCAACCTTGCCGCCATCCTTCAATCTCTCCCTTCTCTTAATTTCAGTTCCTTTCCTTTTCTGGTAGAGACAGAGAAGACACATTTTATCCATGAACCCAAAACTCCGGTGCTGGTAACGGACTCTGGAAGACAGTCTTCCCTTGGTGTTTAATCACTGCGGGGACGCCTGCTTGATTATTCACCCATGTTTCAGAGGTGTCTGATCACTGCAGGGATGCCTGCCTTGATCCTTCACCCTTAGTGGCAAGCACCACTTTCCTGGGGGGCAAGCACCCCCCAACCCTTCTCTCTGTGTCTCTACCCTCTCTTTTCTCTGGGCTTGCATCCTTCACTATAGACAACCTTCCACCCTCCATTCCTCCTTCTTCTCCCTTAGCCTGTGTTCTCAAGAACTTAAAACCTCTTCAACTCACACCTGACCTAAAACCTAAATGCCTTATTTTGTTCTGCAATGCTGCTTAACCCCAATACAAACTCGACAATGGTTCCAAATAGCCAGAAAATGGCACTTTCGATTTTTCCATCCTACAAGATCTAGATAATTCTTGTCGTAAAATGGGCAAATGGTCTGAGATGCCTGATGTCCAGGCATTCTTTTACACATCAGTCCCTCCCTAGTCTCTGTTCCCAATGCAACTCGTCCCAAATATTCCTTCTTTCCCTCCTGCCTGTCCCCTCAGTCCCAACCCTAAGCATTGCTAAGTCTTTCCAATCTTCCTTTTCTATGGACCCATCTGACCTCTCCCCTCCTCCCCAGGCTGCTCCTTGCTAGGCCGAGCCAGGTCCCAATTCTTCCTCATTCTCTGCTCCCCCACCCTATAATCCTTTTATCACCTCCCCTCCTCACACCTGGTCCAGTTTACAGTTTTGTTCCATGACTAGCCCTCCCTGACCTGCCCAACAATTTCATCTTAAAGAGGTGGCTGGAGCTAAAGGCACAGTCAAGGTTAATGCTCCTTTTTCTTTATCCGACCTCTCCCATATCAGTTAGCGTTTAGGCTCCTTTTTATCAAATATAAAAACTCAGCCCAGTTCATGGCCCGTTTGGCAACAACCCTTAGATGCTTTACAGCCCCAGACCCTGAAGGGTCAGAAGGCCATCTTATTCTCAATATGCATTTTATTACCCAATCTGCTCCCAATATTAAATAAAGCTCCAAAAATTAAATTCCAGCCCTCAAACCCCACAACAGGACTTGATTAACCTCGCCTTCAAGGTGTACAATAATAGAGAAGAGTTGCAATTACCTGCCTCTGCTGTGAGAGGAACCCCAGCCACATCTCCAGCACACAAGAACTTCAAAACACCTAAGCCACAGTGGTCAGGCGTTCCTTCAGGACCTCCTCCCCCAGGATCTTGCTTTAAGTGCTGGAAATCTGGCCACTGGGCCAAGGAATGCCTGCAGCCCGGGATTCCTCCTAAACCATGTCCCATCTGTGAGGGACCCCACTGGAAATCGGACTGTCCAGCTTGCCTGGCAGCCACTCCCAGAGTCCCTGGAACTCTAGCCCAAGGCTCTCTGACTGACTCCTTCCCAGATCTTCTCGGCATAGCGGCTGAAGACTGACACTGCCCGATTGCCTCAGAAGCCTCCTGGACCAACACAGACTCTTTCAGTAACTCTTACAGTGGAAGGTAAGTCCGTCCCCTTCTTAATCAATGTGGAGGCTACCAACTCCACATTACTTTCTTTTCAAGGGCCTATTTTCTTTGCCTCCATAACTGTTGTGGGTATTGATGGCCAGGCTTCTAAACCTCTTAAAACTCCCCAACTCTGGTGCCAACTTGGACAACATTCTTTTATGCGCTCCTTTTTAGTTATCCCCACCTGCCCAGCTCCCTTATTAGGTGGAGACATTTCAACTAAATTATCTGCTTCCCTGACTATTCCTAGGCTACAGCCACACCTCATTGCCACCCTTTTCCCCAGTTCAAAGCTTCCTTCACATCCTCCCCTTCTATCTCCCCACCTTAATCCACAAGTATGGGACACCTCTACTCCCTCCTTAGCAACCGATCATGCACCCCTTACCATCTCATTAAAACCTAATCACCCTTACCCCGCTCAACACCAATATCCCATCCCACAGTATGCTTTAAAAGGATTAAAGCCTGTTATCACTTGCCTGTTACAGCATGGCCTTTTAAAGCCTATAAACTCTCCTTACAATTCACCCATTTTACCTGTCCAAAAACCGGACAAGTCTTACAAGTTAGTTCAGGATCTGTGCCTTATCAACTAAATTGTTTTGCCTATCCACCTCATGGTGCCAAACCCATATACTCTCCTATCCTCAGTACCTCCCTCCACAACCCCTCCACAACCCATTATTCTGCTCTAGATAAACCTAGCTGACCCCACAGATCCTAAATCCTTTCCCCACTCCCCTTTCCATTCCTTAAAAAACAGCTCCCACACTAGCTCTCCCTAACTCATCACTCCCTTTTCATTACACACAGCCGAAGTGCAGGGCTGTGCGGTCAGAGTTCTTACACAAGAGCCGGGACCACGCCCTGTAGCCTTTTTGTCCAAACAACTTGACCTTAGTGTTTTAGCTTAGCTCTCATGTCTGCGTGCGGCGGCTGCCGCTGCTTTAATACTTTTAGAGGCCCTCAAAATAAAAAACTATGCTCAACTCACTCTCTACAGTTCTCAAAACTTGCAAAATCTATTTTCTTCCTCACACCTGACGCATATACTTTCTGCCCCCTTCCACCACCTCTCAGCAAGCTGAACTCATTGCCTTGACTCGAGCCCTCACTCTTGCAAAAGACTACATGTCAATATTTATACTGACTCTAAATATGCCTTCCATATCCTGCACCACCATGCTGTTATATAGGCAAAAAGAAGTTTCCTCACTACGCAAGGGTCCTCCATCATTAATGCCTCTTTAATAAAAACTCTTCTCAAGGCTGCTTTACTTCCAAAGGAAGCTGGAGTCATTCACTGCAAGGGCCATCAAAAGGCATCAGATCCCATCGCTCAGGGCAACACTTCTGCTGACAAGGTAGCTAAAGCAGCAGCTAGCTTCCAACTTCCGTCCCTCACTGTCAGTTTTTCTCCTTCTCATCGGTCACTCCCAAATACTCCCCCACTACAACTTCCACTTATCAATCTCTTCCGACACAAGGCAAATGGTTTTTGGACCAAGGAAAGTATCTCCTTCCGGCCTCATAGGCCCATTCTATTCTGTCATTATTTCATAACCTCTTCCATGTAGGTTACAAGCCACTAGCCTGCCTCTTAGAACCTCTCATTTCCTTTCCATCGTGGAAATCTGTCCTCAAGAAAATCACTTCTCAGTGTTCCATCTGCTATTCCACTCCTCCTCAGGGATTGTTCAGGCCCCCTCCCTTCCCTACACATCAAGCTCGGGGATTTGCCCCTGCCCAGGACTGGCAAATTGACTTAACTCACATGCCCTGAGTCAGGAAACTAAAATACCACTTGGTCTGGGTAGACACTTCCACTGGATGGGTAGAGGCCTTTCCCACAGGGTCTGAGAAAGCCACTGCAGTCATTTCTTCCCTTCTGTGAGACATAATTCCTTGGTTTGGCCTTCCCACCTCTGTACAGTCTGATAACGGACCGGCCTTTACTAGTCAAATCTCCCAAGCAGTTTCTCAGGCTCTTGGTATTCAGTGAAACCTTCATGCCCCTTACCACCCTCAACCTTCAGGAAAGATAAAATGGACTAATGGTCTTTTAAAAACACACCTCACCTCACAGCCTCCAACTTAAAAAGGAGGACTATATTAAGGATAGAACCCAAAAACTTGCCAACAAAGCAAGTAATTCCGCTGAACCCCCTTAGGCACTCTCTAATTGGATGTCCTGGGTCCTCCCAATTCTTAGTCCTTTAATATCTGTTTTTCTCCTATTATTCGGACTTCGTGTCTTCTGTTTACTTTTTCAATTCATACAAAACCGCATCCAGGCCATCACCAATCATTCTATACAACAAATGTTTCTTCTAACAACCCTACAGTATTACCCCTTACCACAAAATCTTCCTTCAGCTTAATCTCTCCTACTCTAGGTTCCCATGCCGAACCTAATCCCGCTCGAAGCAGCCCTGAGAAACATTGCCCATTATCTCTCCATACCACCCCCAAAAATGTTCGCCACCCCAACACTTCAACAGTATTTTGTTTTATTTTTCTTATTAAGAAAACAATGTCAGGCCTCTGGGCCCAAGCCTGCATGTATACATCCAGATGGCCTGAAGTAACTGAATGACAAAAGAAGTGAAAATGGCCGGTTCCTGCCTTAACTGATGACATTACCTTGTGAAATTCCTTCTCCTGGCTCAGAAACTCCCCCACTGAGCACCTTGTGACACCCACCCCTGCCCACCAGAGAACAACCCCCTTTGACTGTAATTTTTCCACTACCCACCCAAATCCTATAAAATGGCCCCACCCCTATCTCCCTTCACTGACCCTCTTTCTGGACTCAGCCCGCCTGCACCCAGGTGATTAAAAAGCTTTATTGCTCACACAAAGCCTGTTTGGTGGTCTCTTCACACAGACGTGTGTGAAAATTAGTACCGGATTTTGGGTTTACATAGATAAGTTAAATGGTTTATGTTAATGTGGTGGCTCACACCTGTAATCCCAGCACTCTGGGAGACCAAGGCAGGCAGATCACCTGAAGTCGGGAGTTCAAGACCAGCCTGACCAACATGGAGAAACCCCATCTCTACTAAAAATACAAAGTTAGCTGGGTGTGGTGGCGCATGCCTGTAATCCCAGCTACTCGGGAGGCTGAGGCAGGAGAATTGCTTGAACCCAGGAGGCAGAGGTTGTGGTAAGCTGAGATCGCGCCATTGCACTCCAGTCTGGGCAACAAGAACGAAACTCTGTCTCAAAAATAAGAATAACAATCTAATATATTTCTATAAAGATATGATTTAAATTAGACTTGTGAAATCTGAGATTTAAATAGAACCAAATTATGACTGAGATTGACATTTTAGTATAATCCTTTACTATGTCTCCTTGGTACCCCTGATCTACGATAAACTCTTCTAGAACTTTAATCTTTGCTTTGGACTCCCAACACCTTGTTTAATTGAAACAGAATTCTTCCTGGAGGATACTTCATTCCCTCTTGACTTTTCATTCTGGTTATTCCCTCATATCCCAAGTGACTCAAGATCAGGAAGCAAAGTTCTCTGCTGTTTCTCAAGCATTGCTCCTCTAAAAGTTGTGGAAAAGAATAACTATTTTCCTTTAAAGTTTGTATCATCCTGTCCTCCTATTTTGTCCTCCTGGACATTTCATCTTCATTCCTTGAACATTTCTTCTTTGTTCCTTGAGGAAAATGGTCCTTGATTCAATCTTCTTTTAAAAATTTTTTTTATTATACTTTAAGTTCTGGGATACATGTGCAGAATCTGCAGGTTTGTTACGTAGGTATACACGTGCCATGGTGGTTTGCTGCAACCATCAACCCATCATCTACATTAGGTATTTCTCCTAATGCTATCCCTCCCCTAACCCTCAATCCCCTGACAGGCCTCGGTGTGTGATGTTCCCCTCCCTGTGTCCATGTGTTCTCACTGTTCAACTCCCACTTATGAGTGAGAACATGTGGTGTTTGGTTTTCTGTTCCTGTGTTAGTTTGCTGAGAATGATGGTTTCCAGCTTCATCCATGTCCCTGCAAAGGACATGAACTCATCCTTTTCTATGGCTGCATAGTATTCCATGGTGTGTATGTGCCACATTTTCTTTATCCAGTCTATCACTGATGGGCATTTGGGTTGGTTCCAAGTTTTGCTATTGTGAACAGTGCTGCAATAAACATACATGTGTACGTGTCTCTATAGCAGAATGATTTACAATCCTTTGGGTATATACTCAGCAATGGGAATGCTGGGCAAAATGGTATTTCTGGTTCTAGATCCTTGAGGAATCATCACACTGTCTTCCACAATGGCTGAACTAATTTACACTCCCACCAACAGTGTAAAAGCATTCTTATTTCTCTAGCATCTGTTGTTTCCTTTTTGTTGTTGTTGTTTTGTTTTTTCTCTCTTTTTTTTTTTTTTGAGACAGAGTCTTGCTCTGTTGCCAAGCTGGAATGCAGTGCTGCAATCTTGGCTCACTGCAACCTCCACCTCCTAGGTTCAAGTGATTCCCCTGCCTCAGCGTCCCGAATAGCTGGGACTACAGGTGCGCGCAACCATGCCCAGCTAATTTTTTGTGTTTTATTAGCGACGGGATTTCACCATGTTGGCCAGGATGGTTTCAACCTCCTGACCTTGTCATCTGCCCACCTCAGCCTCCCATAGTGCTAGGATTACAGGTGTGAGCCAACGCGCCCGGTCTGTTTTCTGCCTTTTTAATGATCGCCATTCTAACTGGAGTGAGATGGTATCCTGTGGTTTTTGATTTGCATTTCTCTAATGCCTAGTAATGATGAGCTTTTTTTCATACGTTTGTTGGCCACGTAAATGTCTTCTTTTGAGAAGTGTCTGTTCATATCCTTTGCCCACTTTTTGATGGAGTTGTTTTTTTCTTGTAAATTTGATTCTGGATTCAACCTTCTTACACTTCAACTTCCGTCATCATCTTTTGTAACTTCAGTGTCCACTCAGCCTATCTAAGAACCTAGCCCTCTTGAAAATTATCCCTCTCCAGTAATTGTACCTTTTACTCTATCTCAGATGCCCACTTCCACCATCACACTCTGGACCCTTCTCCTTCCACATCATATGAACTGAAAACATTCCCCTTTCAACCAGTCTGCCATCCTTCAACACTTCTTGCTTAGCTACTCCTCTCACAACTCTTTCTTGATATCCTTGGGACTTTCAGTCCACTAACCTTTCTACTTCTCCTGCCCATAATCCCCTTTCTGGCTTCACTTCTCTCTTATTTCATGATCTACCATTTAAGTAAATCTCTTGAAAATACTCTAACACTTTTGCCTCTCTGTTTATATCCCAAACACATTGATTAATGGCTCTCTTCAGTTATTTGTCCTTTTTTTTTTTAATCAAATCATTTGCATTAGTATTTAAACATGCCCAAGGCTCTCCTCACCTCAAAAACATTCTCCCTAAACCCTCACTTTCCAAATACTGTTCTCTCTTTCTTCCTATTGTTATAGCCAGATTTGGTGAAAAAACTGTCTAAATGACTGCCACTCTCGTTTGGATTCTAGCCCCTTCACAATATCAAAATTAGCCCCTGAAAAGCTATCTATGACTTCCATATCCTAAATCCAACACACAGTTTTTAATATTCAGATTATTCTTTCCATCATCAACATCTGACAAAGCTGATTATTCCTTCCTTCATGAACTTCATTCTTGGCTTTCATGATCTCTTATTGCCTCTTTCTTCCTACTTTACCTCTCTTTTCTCCAATTTTTAAATCTAGGGGTTCCTGAAGATCTCTTCTCACCCAAGACAATCATGTACTCTCATGTCTACTTCCAGAACTGCTTTGTGTTCACACAGAAGTGTAAGCAAGAGCCAGATTTAATGAAATACAGACATCTAAGAAAATATTAAGTACCCTCTATCATTAGAACTTAAGAAAATTTAAGTTTTCACTGTGGTCCTGTGTTTTCTCCCATCCCTTCAAGGACTTAAATAATCCAGCAAGGAACTTATTTACTTATTCATCCCCACCAAACTGACCAGGGTCCAAATTCCCTGGCCCTTTCTGACCCTCCATTTTTTAACTGACAAATGATTATCATAAAAAAACAAAGACAGAAATAAACAAAGATAGAAGTAAAAAAAAATCACCATAAACCTAAACCTAAATTGCTATTAGGTAAACATCCTGCAGGCATCATTCTATGAATATATACTAACAGAAAAAGGAATAGAAATACTTTTATAAAAATAGGATCAAACTATAGCTATTTTATTTAAAAATCCATTTTACCTTACATAAATTTAATAGAAAAAAATGAAATAAAATGAATAGTTGAACTTTACATAAATATTTCTTCCTTGCTGATTATTTTCTAAATAATCCTTCTCTAAGTTAAATAGGAGAGGGTTAGTCATTTTTCTTAACTACATTAGCATATTAGCATTCTTACATTTCTTCCCATCTGCCCTATGTCTGCCTTCCAGTTAAAAAAATCAAATACAGTATTTTTTATACTGTCCAGATTTATAGCTATGATAGACACTGTGATACACTGTCAATCAAATGTCAGTATGGTTTTGTTTTGAATTGTGAGGACATAAGATGTGGGAGGGGCCAAGGGTAGAATGATATGGTTTGGCTGTTTCTCCACTCAAGTTTCACCTTGAATTGTAGTTGACAATTGTAATTGTCAATAGATAATTCCCTATCTATCTACAAAGAGACTGTTGCCCTAGCTGTCAGGAGGGCTGTTGTTGGAAGACAGCCTTCAATGTCAGTCCCTTCAGGAACTGATTCAACTGTAAAGAACTGCCTCACCCAAGGTCACCCTTTCAGGGGTGCCCAAGGCTGTGGGAGCCCATCTCTTGCATCAGCATGACCTGGATGTCAGACATGGAGTCAAAGCAGATCATTTTGGAATTTTAAGGTTTAATGACTGCTCTATTGGATTTTGGACTTGGCATGGGGCCCGTAGCCCCTTTGTTTTGGCCAATTTCTCCCACTTGGAACAGGTGTATTTACTCAATGCCTGTACCTCCATTGCATCTAAGAAGTAACTAACTTGCTTTTTATTTCACAGGCTCATAGGTGGAAGGGACTTGCCTTGTCTCACATGAGACTTTGGACTTGGACTTTTGACTTAATGCTAGAATGAGTTAAGACTTTGGGGGACTGTTGGGAAGGCAGGATTTTGTTTTGAAATGTGAGGGCATGAGATTTGCGGGGGTGGCCAAGGGCAGAATGATATGGTTTGGCTGTTTCCCCACCCAAGTCTCACCTTGGATTGTAGTTCCCATAATCCCGCCTCCATGGGAGGAACCCTGTGGGACATAATTTAATCATGGGGGCAGTTACCCTTATGCTGTTCTCATAAGAGTGAGTTCGTTCTCAAGAGATCTGATGGTTTTATAAGGGGCTTTTCCCCCTTTTCCTTGGCACTTCTCCTTGTTGCCGCCATGTGGAGAAGGACATGTTTGCTTCCCCTTCTGCCATGATTGTAAGTTTCAAGATGCCTCCCCAGCCCTGTGGAACTGTGAGTCAATTAAACCTCTTTCCTTTATAAATTACCCAGGCTTGGGTATGTCTTTATTAGCATCATGAGAACAGACTAATACAAGCGGCAACCAACATGCAATGACTGACTGATGGGAGTATAAAGGCCTGGCCATCTCAGCCCAAATGGGGACAACTCTGAGGGACTATTTTAGTTCCAGAATTCCCTGGGGGTAGGCTAAGACTGTCTTTGGGCATGCACTGCAGCTTGACTTCTCTCTGCCCAATCCTGCTTCCATCTCCTCTTTTACAAGTATGAATCCCAAGAGCACTCCTTAACAAACATTTGGCACACTAAACTCCCTCTCAGAGTCTGCTTCCCAGGTAATCAAATCTGCAACACATATGGTGCCTTAGATTCTTTCAGAAGAAGGCAACTGTGTTAGTCAATTCCCTGCTGTGTTAGGCCATTCTTATGTTGTTAAAAAGACATACCTGGGCAATTTATAAAGAAAAGACGTTTAATTGGCTCACAGTTCTGCAGGCTGTACAAGCATGGTGCAGCAATCTGCTCAGCTTCTGGGGAGGCCACTGGGAGCTTTTACTCTCAGCAGAAGGCAAAAATGGAAGCAGGCATGTCACATGAAGAGAGCAAGAGTGAGAGAGGGAGAGGGGGAGATGCCACAGACCTTTAAACAATCAGATCTCATGAGAAATAATTTACTATCGTGAGGACGGCAGCAAGAGGATGGTGCTAAACCACTCATGAGAAATCTGCCCCCAGGATCCAATCACCTTCCACCAGGCCCCACCTCCAACATTGGGGATTACATTTCGACATGTTCAACATGAGATTTGGAGGGGAAATCCAAACTATATTACCTGCTTCATCTGATTCTCGACCGCAGGGGTTAATGTACTCCTTAGTCAGAAGAGCAAATGTTTTATCAGCCAGGGTAGATTATGCTATAGTAACAGAGAACTCCAAATTCTCAGCAGCTTAATTCAACAATGGTTTACTTCCTCCTTATACAACATATCGATTTTGGATTGGCAACAGAGGCTTCCTTCAAAGCTCAAAGAGGCCCCATTTCCACACATGCTTCCATAGTAGTGAATGCATTATTCTGATTCTTAAAGGTTACGAGCAGAAGATAAAAGCAAGTCACCTGGCCACACCTGAGTTCAACAGAGTGGTAATCTATGCTGCTTTTGCAGAGAGGAGCAACAGACCTTACCAAAGCAGGCTACATGCCGGAGTTGACTCACAAGTCATAGTTTGCAAACCCTGGTCAAAAGCAGTGATTCACAAACTTTAATGTATATCAGAATCATGTACAGTGCTTGTTAAAATGCAGATTGCTGGGCCCTACCCTCAGTGTTTTTTTTAATTCAGAAAGTTTCGGAGAGGGAATGAGAATCTGCACTTCTATCAAGTTCCTATGTGATGATGTTGGTCCAGGAATCATACTTCGAGAACCATTTGTCTACAGAAAAAAAAACTTAACAGGTACGCCTGCTGCTCATCTATTAATGTAGAGAACCTTATTTCAAGATGAAACACATCACAGCTTTGTCAAATATCAGTTTTCCTAAAAGGCAACTCACCAAAAACCATATATATAATAATGAAAATAAACCAAGGATTTAATAAAGACTCCTATATTCTGAGAATTGTCCAATAGCCTCACTATTATTATTGCTAGCCACTCTGAAGAGATCAGAATTAAGTACTGTTTGTACAGGAAGGGTTGTGTGTATGTTTGTGAGATAAAGAATAGAGTTTCATTATTAATCAATCAATAAATGTAATAATATTAACAAATCTAATAAGCTGAAATTAGACATAAAACCAGGATGAGGAAAAAGGGAAAGGTTATTTTATGCAACTGTTAGAGAGTAATATAGTACCAAAAATGCAAGTGAAGAAATTAATTGGGGTTAAATACTAAGAAAGAGTGCCATCTGAACAAAGCTGTGTATATAAGAGTTCAAATTATGAGAGGGATATATGCCATGGTAGGAAGGATAACTGAAAACATTCTAGCTACTGAGTTTGGCATAAGACAGTACTAAAGCAAGTAAATAGTAAACCATATGGCTATTTCACGATTCTTATTTGAAAACAACAGACGCTAACTCTGACTCATAAAGTGGAATAGTAATTTATTAAAGGACTAGGGATGAATAAAGAACCAAGTTAATGGTTAAGCTTCTCAAGAATGAAGTCTACAAACCATACTACAGAATTGGTCAGGTGAGGAAAACCTGCTGCTGTTCTCACTGGATTCTTTTCTGCCAAGGACTTTCCTCTACTGCAACTGTTAGTGGCCCAGCACCAATACCATTTCTGCATCAGCAGAGCTATTTTATAACAGAATTACTATTGCCTCTGAACACCAGATACCTCCACCATCAACTTCATGGAAACATGATCTGACTGCAGTGTCTGCTTCTTTGTTCAGTCTGTATTGAGGTTTCCAGAAAATAAGTATGAGTGGCAGAGTCTAGGTCACACAGCTCCTGCCATATCTACCAGTGAGACGGGGAAAGTCAATTTTATGGCTTACCTTAGGGAGGTAGACATGGTTATTCCCAGATAGTTACTGAAAAGGTAGAAGAGAAAACATAATACATGTCTGCCACAAAATGTCATATCACGCATACAAAACTCATCTAAAATTCACCAATTTCTGTTCCTGCCTAACTCCATTCCCAATATATACTAGCATAATTAGACAATATCAGAGATGGATAGGCCTTTAGAGATCACTTGGTCTAATCCTCTGATTTCACTAATGAGAAACCTGATGCCCAAAATAATCAGATGATTTACTTAGTTTACAGGGCTAGTCAGTAGAAAGAAATTATGCTTTTTAAACTCTTAAGTATATTTTCTATCATGCATTGATCAAGAAGGCACACTTCAAACTATATCTTAATGTTAAACTCTTTTTTTTTTTTTTTTTTTGAGACAGAGTCTTGCTCTGTCATCCAGGCTGGAGTGCAGTGGCGTGATCTCAGCTCACTGCAAGCTCCGCCTCCTGGGTTCACACCATTCTCCTGTCTCAGCCTCCCGAGTAGCTGGGACTACAGGCACCTGCCACCACGCCCGGCTAATTTTTTGTATTTTTAGTAGAGACGGGGTTTCATCGTGTTAGCCAGGATGGTCTCAATCTCCTGACCTCATGATCTGCCCACCTCGGCCTCCCAAAGTGTTGGGAATACAGGTGTGAGCCACTGCGCCCGGCCTTAATGTTAAACTTTAATCTTATTCTCAGGGAAACTCACTGTTTAGTTCTCAGAAAGTCATTTTGGTGACATTGGTCTTTTTTTTCTCTCAATCAGTTCCTGCAAAACTAGCTATAAAACTAAATTTTATATGCAAAATTCTATTTTCCTATTATCTATGAAAAAAACTGTAAGTTTAAATGTGTTTTAATGGTAGTTTGCAAGTTCTTTGGCTGGATTAAAACTTTTCCTTGCCAAAAGTTACAATAAAAATGACAACAATAATAAGTGATTATTCAAAAGCTACTAGAAGGCCTGGCATGGTGCCTCATGCCTGTAATCCCAGCGTTTTGGGAGACTGACATGGGAGAATCGCTTCAGGCCAGGAGTTCAAGACTAGCCTGGACAACACAGCAAGACTCGATTTCTAAAAAAAAAAAATTAGCCAGGCCTGGTGGTGTGCACCTGTAGTCCTAGCTATTCGAGAGGCTGAGGTGGGAGGATCACTTAAGCCCAGGAGTTTCAGGCTACAATCAGCCATGATTGCACTACTACACCCCAGCCTGGGTGACCCTGACTTTTCCCAGAGTGAGACCCTGACTCTGGGGAAAAAAAGCAACTAGAACAAATGTTTAATTATGAGTGTATCTCTTACAGATATATTATTGCATCTTACAAAAATTAGAGCCAAACTCACCCAAGTAAACTGCAATTACAAGATCTCCCCACAAAGTTAATATTAAAACTTAAGCAGGGAGAACATTAATACTATAGTATATATAGAATATATACATTCTATTGGTATATTTTAATGACTAAACAACTGATAGCACAGAAGCCAAAAGCAACCAATGAGATTTTGAGAAGGTGGAGAAAGAAGGAAAGTGACAAAAAAGAACAATTAAATACAGGGTACTGAATTTGAGAAGCATGTCAACACAGAGAAAGGGCAGAAGATGGATAGTTTTATTCAAATATAAATGTTACATCTTTAGAGGAGAACGACAGACAATGGGGCCTATCAGAGGGTGGCAGGTGGGAGAAGATAGAGGATCAGGAAAATTAACTATTAGGTCCTGGGCTTTATACCTGGGTGATGAAATAATCTGTAAAACAAACCCCCATGACACAAGTTTACCTATATAACAAACCTGCACACGTACCCCTGAACTTAAAATAAAAGTTAAAAAAAATAAATGTTATGTCTTACAAGCTATTTATTTGGCACTTTTTCCTCAGAAATTATTGTACTGGTTGGCAGAAAAAGATTACAGAATCAATGACTAGAAGCTAACACACGTAATGTAGGTCCATTAAAAAATTGCTTAGTTTGAACAGAGATAAGACAGTATTATTTTCTATGGCTTCATTCTCTTTGTGAAATGAATGTAATTAAAACATAATTAATTGGTAACAGATAAATTACATACCTCTTGATGACAGAGTCTTTCTCTTCTAATTTAAATGAGATTTCTATATAAGCGTTTATTTTCCACAGAGTAACTAGTGATCACTCAGACCAAATAATGAAGAAGTTTAGAAATCATATTAATAACTGTAGATTATTAAATTTTATGAAAAATTCGTTCTTCCCCCCTCCGAAATATTGCCTGAACTCTTTTTTCTCCCCTCTTTTAAGCTGCTATTATTTCTAAAAGGTATTTCCCCAAAATAATTCTGAAAATTTAAAAGGATAACAAGTTATCAATTTTCCCAACAGAGATTAAGTCTTATCCTAGAAACCCATATGAATATACTATATTTACATCATCATTTTGTACTTAAAGACACTGAAATCATTTAGTTAAACTGGTATGGTGTTGACTGTGAATCAAGGTCTTACAACATAAAATGTTGCCTGATGTAAATGAGATGAGACCCTAAACTACTTGGACCGAAGCTTACACATTTAAAAGCTCAAAACAACACTAAAATAGTATACCTTTATTTTAAAATATAAACCTATTCTAAAATCTGTATATTTATATTTTAAAAATGCTTTGTATTCAATATAACAGAGATGAATAAATATAAACCATAATGCACACTTACAGCATATCACAGATTTTTTCATAATCTAAATAACTATGTGGCATAATGTATCTCCCTGGTTTAAATAAACAGTGCAGACATTTCTCTCCTGTGATTTGCAATGCCTTGTGGGAATTTAGTTAAAAATATGAAGACAGAGAGAGATTTATATGTGATTATCATCTGGAGGACAAAAAGAGAAAAGAGAGAACTAGCTCAAAGTACTAAGCTTAAGGGTTCTCCTGAAATACTTTACAATCTGTTTAAAAAGGGTGGAAAGTCTAATGAGGCCAGATTTATTTTGAAATTTTAAAATAATTTCACAGAAGTTCTGGAAACATATCCAGTCGGGACCTAGGGAGCGGTATATATATTCTGTAAGGGCAAATCCTTTCTGCCATACAGCAAATAACATATGGGGCTGATACTTCTTAATGTATTGCCTAGTTTTAACCTGGAAAAAAAATAATAAATTCTATAAGGAGTTTGGATGACTTCATAATCAAACATTTAATAAATGTTCAACAACAACAACAAAAAACATGTAAAACCCTGGGCCAAAACTCTGTGAAGGATAAAATAAAAGACATAAATCACAAATTATCTTCAAGGGCAACTTTTTTAGGTAAGAAAAAGTATATCTATCTATCCAGGGCTTAGATATTTTTGTAAAGGCATGATTACTATGTAAAAAAATAGACTGACAAACTTGTTGGCTTGATTAAAGATTTTTAAAATTGTGCATACTATAAACCATGAACATAAACTGTATTCAGGCCATTTGATGAGATACTCACAGAATGATTGTAAGAAGGTTCCAATATCACAGGCAATGACATTTTCCCTTGAAGATTCAATTTTGTTAAATAAAAAATCTTTTCCCCCACAATCTTTTCTTTTTTCATGCGATGTACACCATACAGTCTAAACCGAACTGCATAATTTCCAATCATCTCAGATTCAACATGATTAAATTTAAATGTTTCTGTGAAGACAGGGCATGGTCCTCTCTGGATGCTGGTTTTTGCTCTCTGTTTCTTTATAGGTAGAAGAACAAGGTGTACTTGCCATGAGTTGCCACCTGTCCTGTTATATGTTGGGATGTCTGTGACAGCTGTCACTGTTACCAGAAGCTTCTGTTCTTGTGAGTCATAGTCAAAAGTCACATCCAGTGTGCCATATTTAGCTTCTGGCTCAGGATCAAAAGGTTTAGGAAGCTGCGAAGATGATCCTTGAGCTGACATATCCTAAGAAAAGAAAATTTAAATGTTAGAGTTTTTAACTCAATTATTTAACCTAGCATGTAAATAAATACTTGATATTTCTTTAGAAGATGTGAAAACAATTCTGCCACAAAGAAAGTAATACAATAATAATTAACAGTCAACTACAACCAAAAGCTACCCTATAGAGCGAGATTAGTACAGGCAGTAAGTTAAATTCAAAACTTATGATAATAAAGACACGTTTAGAATTTAATATTCACCATTACAATTCTGAGAAAGTGTGATGTATGTTTTTATAAATGAGAATTTAAAATATATCCTTTAGTGGGTATATCTGCTCCTTTTGTAGAAAACTACTACATTTTACTTTCAATTTCATTTACAATGCCATTGACAGCACAGTATCAGGCTGCAGAGAAAGAGAACATAAATAAAAGTATAACGCTATGGAAAAATTTGGTTCCGTTTTCAGAGATTGTTCTAAAACACCCCCATCTGTAATAAAATATAAAGATATTTAGACTTAAAAATCAATGGAAATGTGAAATATGAAACTATAAATAAAGGTCTCAAAATATTAGCGGTCAAATATTTACTTTCCATAACATAGACTGTATTTACTTCAATTTCTAAACACAATTAAAAACATATTATTTTCTAACATTAATGACTATTGAAAATGGCAGAACACACATTTTAAAAGTTCAAGAAAGGCTGTAACGGTAGTTTTTAATTATGAAATTAAAAGAAATTATAACCATTTTTCCTGTAATTGTCTCAAATTCTTGCCAGTCTATCTATCTAGAATGTAATAGGGGTTTTAGCTAGTTACCAACAATGTCAAACCTACGTCTCTGACCTTTCAACTATACCACTTTGCCTCTTCAAGTATTTTAATAAATCTTAAATAATTCTCATTTCAAAATGTGGGCCAATTTAATAAATTTCTAAAATTTTCTAAATTTTGAGTGGCAGTGAATACTACTGAATCTCAGTCTTCTCTTTTTCCATTTACGAAACAAAATAAAACAAAACAAAACCTTCCTGAGTGTTAGCTAGAAATACTACCCACAAGATTTGGGGAGCTGAGGCAGGCAGATCACTTGAGGTCAGGAGTTCGAGACCAACCTGGCCAACATGGTGAATCTCTACTAACATGGCCATCTCTACTAAAAATACAAAAATTAACTGGGCATGGGTGGCAGGTGCCTGTAGTCCCAGCTACTCAGGTAGGTGAGGCAGGAGAATCGCTTGAGCCAGGGAGGCAGAGGTCGCAGTGAGCCAAGATCATGCCAGTGGACTCCAGCTTCAGTGACAGGGTGAGAATTTGTGTAAAAAAAAAAAAACACTGTCCACAAGAGACTATACTTCAGCGCCTCTATTATAGCTCATACGACTACATGACTCAGCTTTGGCCAATGGGAGGCAAAAATAATTTACGTGTGAAACATTCAGATCAGGTTTATATAAGAAATTACTTGCTCTCTACTCTCTGTCTCACTCTTCTCACAAGCAGATATACAAACAGGAAGTGTGGGTCAGCTCAGACCATGTGGACTAGGACAATACCCTAGGGGAAGGCAGAGAAACAGAAGAGAAGGAACTGGGTTCCTGAATAATCTCATAGAGCAAAGCCCCCTGCTCACCCTGCACTGTTGTTAAACAAAAGAGAATTAAGTTTCTGTGTTCTTTAGCCATTGTATTTGGTGGGGGCTAGGGGTCTTTTTGTTGTAGCAGCTTAACATGTACCGTAACTACTGTATCTACTATGTGCCAACCCCTATTTTAGGTCGGGAGAGTGCTTCTTTCTGCAGAGAGAACCAAAAAGACATGAGTCCTTAATTTTTTTTTTTTTTTTGACACAGGGTCTTTCTTTGTTTACCAGGCTGGAATGCAATGGCACAATCATGGCTCACTGCAGCCTTGGCCTCCCATGCTCAAGTGATCCTCCTGCCTCAGCCTCCTGAGTAGCTGGAATCACAGGCATACACGACCACACCTGGCTAAATTTTTTGATTTTTAGTAGAGACAAAAGTCTATGTTGCCCAGGCTGGTCTCAAACTCTTGGGCTCAAGGAACCCTCCTGCCTTGGCTTCCCAAAGTGCTGGGATTAAAGGTGTGAGCCACCATGCCCAGTTAGTCCTTGATCTTATAAATCTTATATGCTAGTTGGTATAATGTATGCAGGAAAAAAAACAACAGAAGAACAGTACTTGGGGAGAAGAAATAAATTCCCAAAAGAGAATTCAGTTTTTAATGTAGCATAAGAAAATCAAAACATATTCTTATTCTGTTAAAAAATTTACGGTTTAGAGCAAAATGTGTTAATGTATACTACTTTATAATTGGTAATTAAAGATTATTAATTATATGGCTTTGGTATTTCAATTAAATATTTTCTAAAATAGCATCACGACAGCTAAGATTTTCAGGCAATAAAAATGTTTATCAGGTCCTAGATAGCTATTTTTGAATTTTACTTCTCTTGGTGCCGCCCTGATTGTTTTTTCTTTTTTTTCAAAATTCCAACAACTCTTATGAAACCCAATGTTGAAAGGGTGGAACACTGACAGATAAAAGACATTATCTGCATTCTGAAAACAGGCAATAAGCAAACAATCCTTCCTTTCAAGGTATGGGACCAGTTTTAAAAAATCTTTATTTAGATAGCAATAGGTTATCAACAGCGTTTATAAACTCCTTCCCATGGAATTCTTCTGAACCTTCTCTCCTCTCTCAGTTTAATCATGTATGTAGATAGGCTCTAAGATAGCTACAGCCTGGATTAAACCAAGAGAAAAGTGAGAATTTTCTATCTGACACATAATATCTATTACAAGGATGCAAAATAAACTTGAAAAAACACAAAAGTGAATTTTATATTAGCATAGGCTATCGGCATTCACATCTAAATATTTCTGTAATGTGCATTTGCTATATTGTTTGAGTACATTCAATGCTACTACAGAAGACACAAAAATAAGCAGGACGGAGGAAATTCCAAAGAAGTGGTTACAGATAGCAAGTTAGCAGCTTCTGAAATACAGACAAAACTCACAGTGTGTGATAACTATAGATAGTGAGTAAAGAAGCAGCTTGTGAGACATAGGCAGAATTCATACGATATTAAATATAAATAGTTAATAACTTGTAACATATGCCAAAGAAAGATTAAATAGAAAATCTGACGGATCAAATGAGTGTTACCTATAGAAAGGGATGAAATGCACAAGCCACGATCATGTAGCCTCTGGGCTGACAGCTCTGTCACCCATGTGCTCTACTTAAGAAATGCAGATAAAACCTACAACTGCCTAGTAGGTTGACAAGCTTCACTGGTGGCCAGGAGTATAACTATATCTCTCCCACAAAGCAAACAAGTGTGTGCTGTTGGCTCTTGATACCCTTGTTCAAATTTCAACTCTGGTCCTTGTTACATCATAAATAGGAATGCTGATGGAAAAGAAGACAGTGAGACAGGATGTATGGGCACTGCATAAAACAGGACTCACACAGTGTGGTCTTGCTACCGATACTCACTTACAGCTTATCCCCAGGTGTGTTAATGGATTTCTGATTTCATCCAGCTCCTCTTACTTCTTGCTTTGTATGTGAAATGGACTAAAACACACTCTCTTTCTCTCTCTCTCACACACACACATGCACACACAATAATTTGAGCATCTTACTTTGGTCCTTTACTCCTCTGAGAGAGTTTGCCTGGTAATGTTTGGAGGGTACCACTGAATCAAAGTAATTTCACACACAACATTTTGGATCAAAAAAGGCAATATAATATAGTTGTTAAGAGCACTGTTTTGGCAGTCAGACAGACCTGGGTTGGAACTAAAGTTTCACTATTTAAGAGCTGCTTCTACTTGGTCAAATTGTTTAGCTCTCTGACTCTTAATGTTTTCATTTATAAAATGGAAATAATAACTTCCTAAAGATGTGGTTGTTAGAATTAAATGAGCAGACTACATAAAGCTCATAGCAAAATTCCTGACACAAGTGATGATAGGTATTATTGTTGTTGTTTATTAATCCCACAATCCAGGCTTCACTGTTAACTTGTGAGCTATATATGTAGTTTACAAAGCTACAAAACAGCTGTCTCAAATTTGTTTAGGTAATGGAACACAAAGAAACATTCATCATGAAAAATCATAAAATAATGATATATTAAACTTAAAATATCAGCATACAATTTTCTTCTCGGTCAGATACTGTAATACTAGAAATACTAAAAAAAGCAATAACAGATACAGAGTAGTTTTAACAATTATAGAAGAAAAACCTAAAATTAAGGAAATTCTATCCATAGCTTAATTGTTCTGGGTATTAGGAAACTACACCTATTATTTAATTTTGGCAGCAGATCTGAAAATTCATCTGGTAAGAATACGGACATATTTCAGTATTACTGAATGTTGTCTGGAACAAAAACAGTAAAAACTTGCAATCTAAAACTTTTAAGTAGGCTGGGTGCAGTGGCTTATGCCTGCAAACCCAGCACTTTGGGAGGCTGAAGCAGGAAGATTGCTTGAGCCCAGGAATTTGAGACCAGCCTGGGCAACATAGTGAGAGCCTGTCTCTACAAAAAAATTAAAAAATTTGTGGGTGTGGTGGTGCACACCTGTAGTATCAGTTACTTGGGAAGCTGAGGTGGGAGGAAGCTGCAGTGAGCTGTGACTGTGCCACTGCACTCTGTTCTGAGTGACAGAGACAGACTCTGTCTCAAAACAAAAACAAAAACACTTGAAAGTAAATCTAAATACTAACTTATAAAAACTCTAGATTGTCTTTATATAGTTTTCATTATGACAGAAACATTAAAACAAATTCTTTTTAGAATACAGTAATACTTCAAAACTGCCACAAAATTATTTTTGTTGTAATTTTCACATTTTTGCTCCGAAACAGTAAGTAAACTTAAAGCTCAACCAACCAGCCACTCTGAATGCATGAAGCCATGGATTCAAATTTCATTAGTAAAGCTGATCATCATTTATCCCTTGCATTTTCTATGATATGAAAATACAATAAGATTATTTTGAAAGACTTGTGAAACATTGAGTAACCTCCCAATAGTAAAAAAATCCAAAATAAAATAAAAATAATACAAATAGTAACCTCAAGATGAAATAAACAGGTAAATTATTCCAGAATGTTTTATACAAAGTATTTAAAAAAAACATCTTTAGGTACCCATCTTCTTTTGGTGGTGGGGCTTGGGGTTGGGGAGTGGGGGCAGCTGAAGACTAGTTGGGACATTCCTGATAAGTTTGTTGGATAAAGATTAGATTAAGGATGGATACTGGTACTATAAGTTACAAAGGAATAAGTGATAAAATCAATTCTTCTTACCAAGAGGAGAAGCACAGGATTATTATCCTCCAAATAACATTCATTTTCAAACTTCTATGTGCTTTTACTTACTTCAGGGCTCAGGACTGCAGTGCTGTCACTTGGAACATCTTCTTCATATCCTTTATTATGAAAACTTTCTATTTCATGACCTGTGCTTCCTTCACTTGGGCACTTGTTATATGAGCATCTTGGACTGTTGCTGCAGTGGGAAAATTCACATTTACTGTCCCCAATTTCTGAGGGTGTACATGACAGATGGGGAGAACCACTGTCATCCTGATATGGTGGTGGCTGCAATTCATCCAGCGGGGGTGTTCTTCTCATTCTCTGAATGCAGTTTCCTGATAATGATTAAGAATCTGGTCACTGTTTCCAATTAGCCTCAACACACAGTATAGTCTACAATAATTGTAAATAACTTTTGAAAACTGGATCAAAAAATTGATGGCAACATAACTATTAGATTTACTAATGACTTCTCTTTTTCCCTAGTTCAGAGGCACAAATAAAATGATCTGGTTTCCCACTCCTTGCCTCCTGCATAATAAGATTAGGAAAAATAAAAGTCATATACGAAGAAAGATCCTGTTATGTATCATAAAAATTAGGGAGTGATAAGTATTAAACAGCTTATTTGTCTCTCTCAAAACAATCCCGATGTATACATACTTCATCTATTACCCCATGATCTGTGGCCACCCTAGGGTCAAAGCGATACAAATATGGTTGGAAAAACAAACATAATAATACCTCTGCTTGTTCTTCACCTATGTTCAACAAGAACTCACCTACATTCTTCAGTTACTGAGATGAACTTAAACTAGCATTCAGCTAGCAGTGTCAGAAATGTTTTTCTACATCTGTCCTGGATCCAGAATCCTAGAATGAGGTGCACTGTGAATCAGGCCCATTCCCTGTTTGCGAACATCCATCAATCTGCAAAGACTGGAGGCTGTGTTCTGTCTCTTCTCCATTATAAGGGCACTCTATCCCACTCTACATCTGTGTCTGTATTCTTTATAAATTATGACTCCATCTTGTCTATAGTAGACATCTCTACCTCTAGCAGTTAACATGAAACCACATTTTCTTTCACTCTTAAATTATCCTTTTAATTTTTACCTCAATGATTTACCTCGGTGATTGAGAATAAACATATCTGCGAACAAGGACAGAGTTGGGGGCAGGAGGGAAATAAGGAAACAGAGTCCAGTAAATAATTTAAGAACAGCTAAGTCTTTGTAGATAAATCCTGAATGCAATACTAAACATTAAATTTAAACACTGATCTTTTTTTTTCTTTTAATGAACTGTGCATCTCTTTTCTCAAAAGGGACCCTGAAACAGTAGTTTGTACTATCATTGTTATGGAGTTCAGTTCAAATATTCAATAGTTCCTCTGTTCTTCCTAAGATAAAAAGTTACATAAGAACTATAAGCTTCATTTAAAAATTACCAAAATGCTTGGTTCAAATGAAAAATGATAATTTGCACAAATGTAGCACAAATTTACATATTTGCTCAGAGGCCCCAATTTTGAAAAAAAAAAGAAAAACTAAATGTCTTACCTAGTGAGTCTAATAGTCTAACCACAGAGTCATCTCTCAATATATGTGGGGAACTGGTTCTAACCCCACCATTCCCTTTCAAATACCAAAATGCAAAAATGCTCAAGTACCTGTTATAAAATGGTGTAGTATTTACATATAACCTAAGTACATCCTCCCATATACTTTAAATCATCTCTATGTTACTTACAATGTCTAACACAATGTGAATGCTATGTAAATGTTGTAATACTATATTGTGTGGGAAATAAGAAAAAGTCTGTATGTTTGGTACAGATGAAACCATACATTTTTTCAAATATTTTCCATCTGAGGTTGGTTGAATTCACAGATGCAGAACCTACAGACATGGAGGGCCGGCTGTACTAACTTTAGTTTATAACGTAAGCAAAAAGTAAAAAAGTGGCTGAATTAATAAAGTTGAAGCTAAATTCAAGAAGACAGATTAGACATGTTGCAAGTCATAGCCAAAAAACCCACAGAATTCCAGAATAGTAAAGAGACAAGTGGTTTTAGGCAGTTAATTGGCTTGATCCATTTATGTGGTAGGTAAGTATGTGTGGCTGCCACCGCTGGCAGACTGACTTGACTCCATCCATAACCTCTTTTTCTCCTAAGCAGCATTCTGATTAGGAGTGGCCAATGAGATCTAAGCAGATTTCAGAGTGAACCTTCCAGGAAAGTTTTTGTTTTCCTGATAAAAGCAGGTAGACTCTACTGGCATGCCCCTTTGTCCCTTTGCCTTTCGCCTGCTTCCCTCTTGGAGGAGTAGCAGCAGCTACCTTGTGACCATACAGTGACAAGTATGAGAATGAAAGCTAGGAAGGCAGAAGCAGGAAAATGAAAAGCCCGGTATCTGAAACATCACTAAATACCTACCTCCAAACTTGACACCTGAGACAAATCCCTATTTGTTAAAGAAAAAGAAAAAAAACTATAATAGTTGGATTTTCTACTGTTTCCAAATATATTCTCAATGGATATAGTTTATTAATCATTAAACTGGCATCCTCTGCCCCTTTAAAAGTACATATTTAATTAGCCACTGAATTAAACGGTAATACCTAAATACTGCAACACAAAGTCAATTAAAAATTTTCCAACGTAAGTGGTTTTGGGAGTCAGCACACCATCTACTCCTTTACCTTTTTTCTTAGAAGAGTGGTGATCTTTCCTAGAAGTCTTGAGCATATTGCCTCACAGATCTTAATGCACAGACCTGGGTCACATGTCTATTCCTAAATCCATCATTGGTAGAAGAAATGGGATGACCATAATTGGCTTAAATTAATCAGAAGCCATCAAAATTTGAAGCTGGGGATGGGGCCAGCTTCACTCTTCATATCTATATGGAAAAGAGTAGATGCCTAAACAATGTAGGATCCAGGAGGGAGGATGAAAGAGAAAGAATGTTGGTACAAAATGAACATGATCCAGTTCATGATCCAGTGAACATGGCTCACTGCAGTCTTGACCTCCCAGGCTCAAGTGATCCTCCCTCCTCAGCCTCCCAAGTAGCTGGAACTATAGGCATGAGCCACCATGCCTGGCTAATTTTAAAAACTGTTTGTAGAGACAGGGTCTTGCCATGTTGCCCAGGCTGATCCTGAATTCCTGGGCTCAAGCAATCCGCCTGCCTCGGCATCCCAAGGTGTTGGGATTACAGGCATAAGGCACTGCGCCAGGCCTGTTTTCTTGATCAGAGTATTTTTTTTCTGCCTGTGGTTATATTTTTCCTCAATATAATAATCCTTTTCTGAGGTTCCTTTTGATATGCCAGCACAGTATAATTTTGGTTTGGTAATGATGTTACACCTTATTTCCTTTGGTTTGCTTTTTTATATTAGGTCCTTGCCTAGCTGTGGGCCAACTAAGTGTATTTTCACAGCTGAGCTCCAGGCATCTGGCGCTAGTTTAGATTTAGTGTAACTCTTGCTCCAGAGACCAAGGCACAAGTTACACAAAATGGGTTTGTGATATTTAAAGATGTTAAGTGGGCTCAATGGGTAGACTTCACTACTGTTTTCTGGATTTGAGAGAAACAACATTAAAGCTGTGAATATATAAAATTTATTTTAGCCACACCATATCCTCCAAGTTTTGAAAATAGTATTACCACCCCCTTTTATCTTTACTTTTCACTTCATTTTTGCATTTTATTTTTTAAAGTGTAGAACACACAAATGTAGGTGGAATAAAAATTTCATTAAAAAATATAGTTATGAAGATCCCTCCTTTTTAAATGTTTGCAATCTGTTTTTATTCTACATAGTGTACTAAGAGTTGGCTTAAATGTAATTGATATAAGAAAAATTTTTAAATAATTTTATAAAGTAACAAAATTTATATTATTATTGTTAAATTACACTGTAAACATCAACCTTAAGAAGAAATTTCTAGTGGAACTATCAAACACCACGTGATGATGCCCTCCCATTACTTTAGTTCCTGCTTTATTACCTAATTTCATACCCCGATTTTTATATAAATGATATATCTATAAGAGGATTTAGGCATGGATATATTTTAAGCATTTTAATTTACCATCTGCATATTGCATAGCACCTACAAAACAAGATGAAGTATTTTCTTACCATAGAAAAAATAGCATGTGTGCACACACGGAATATGACCTGTGGTTCTTAACTTTTAAAACAGTGGTGAGAACCACAGCTCTAAAAAAAAAATGATGTATATTCAACGACTGCAGAATTCTTTTTTTTTTCAAGTGCCTGTGGAAATCTGCCAAAATTGATTATATGCTGAGCAATTAATTAAGTCTCAATACATTTCACAAATTGGAAGCATGAAGAGGATGTTTTCTAAATGAGGCAGGAGAATAAAGTCCGAAGGCAGGAAACCTAAGGCCATGCTGACTTCCTAGAACTGAATCAAAAGTAAAACCCCACCTCTCCACACCCAAGTAACAAAAGGATCAGAGGCTACTCCCTTTGCACTGTGTGGCAGATGAAAAATGGGAAGTACCTCTGATTGGTCTCCTCCCACAATCAGACTGGTGACCAGCCAAGTCTTCATGTGTAACGCTGTAACTTCACTTCAGCCTCTGATTGGTCGCCTCCTCCAACCAATCAGACTGGTCACAGGCCCGTCCTTCATTACATAGGATGTAGCCAAGTAACCAATGGGAAACCGCTAGAGGTTATTTAAATCCCAGAAAATTCTGTAGCCAGTGCTCTTGGGCTGCTCTGTGGAGTGTACTTTCGTTTCACTATGCTTAAATCTATGCTAGCATAAATCTATGCGTTCATTGCTTGATTTTTTCGTTGCTTTGTTCATGCATTTTGTCCAATTCTTTGTTCAAAACACCAAGAATCTGGACGACTCATAGTCAAGACATCCACTGGTAACATGACCACTACAGAATTAAACTAGAAATCAGAAACAAAAATATAGCTAGAAAATGTATAGAAATCTAAACGAAAATAACTAGAGATTAAAATATACTTCAAAATAATCCATGGATCAAAGAAGAAATCACAATACAAATTAGAAATATCCTGAAGATATCAATCATTAAAAAGTCAGAAAACAACAGATGCTGGAGAGGTTGTGGAAAAATAGGAATGCTTTTACACTGTTGGTGGGAGTGTAAATTAGTTCAACCATTGTGGAAGACAGTGTGGCGATCCCTCAAGGATCTAGAACCAGAAATACCATTTGACCCAGCAATCCCATTACTGGGTATATAGGCAAAGGATTATAAATCATTCTACTATAAAGACACATGCACATGTATGTTTACTGCAGCACTATTCACAATAGCAAAGACTTGGAACCAACCCAAATGCCCATCAATGATAGACTGGATAAAGAAAATGTGGCACAAATACACCATGGAATACTATGCAGCCATAGAAAAGGATGAGTTCATGTCCTTTGCAGGGACATGGATGAAGCTGGAAACCATTATTCTCAGCAAACTAACACAGGAACAGAAAACCAAACACCACATGTTCTCACTCATAAGTGGGAATTGAACAATGAGAACACATGGACACAGAGATGGGAACATCACATGCTGGGGCATGTCAGGGGATGGAGGGCTAGGGGAGGGATAGCATTAGAAGAAATACCTAATGTAGATGATAGATTGACGGTTGCAGCAAACCACCATGGCACGTGTATATCTATGTAACAAACCTGCATGTTCTGCACATGTATCCCAGAACTTAAAGTATAATAAAAAAAAAATATCCTGAAGAGAATGATAATGAAAATGATCTACACAACTACTTGTAGAATGTGGCTAATCTGTGCTTAGAAGGAAATTTATAGGTCTGAGCATAAAATATTGGGGGGAGGTGGGAGGCTGAAAAACAATGGTCTAAGAATCCACTTCAAGAAGTTAACAAAAATAAGAATGATGGTTTCCAGCTTCATCCATGTCCATGCAAAGGACATGAACTCATTCTTTTTTATGGCTGCATAGTATTCCATGGTATATATGTGCCACATTTTCTTTATCCAGTCTAACATTGATGGGCATTTGGGTTGGTTCCAAGTCTTTGCTATTGTGAATAGTGCTGCAATAAACATACGTGTACATGTGCCTTCATAGTAGAATGATTTATAATCCTTTGAAACCATCATTCTCAGCAAACTAACACAGGAACAGAAAACCAAACACCGCATGTTCTCACTCATAAGTGGGAATTGAACAATGAGAACATATGGGCACAGGGAGGGGAACATCACACACCACGGCCTGTCAGCAAGTGGGAGGCTAGGGGAGGGATAGCATTAGGAGAAATACCTAATGTAGATGACCGGTTGATCAGTGCAGCAAACCACCATGGCACATGTATACCTTTGTAACAAACCTGCATGTTCTGCACATGTATCCCAGAACTTAAAGTATAATTAAAAAAAAAAAACTCACTGTAAAAAAAAAAGTTAACAAAAACAGCAAATTAAATCCAAAGAAAGTAGAGGGATGAAATAATAAAGAGCAGAAATTAAATAAAAAACCAAGCATATAACAGAAAGCATCAAAATAAAATTCACTGAAAACACGAATAAAATTGATAAACTACTAGAAGAGACGAGTCCAGAAAAAAAGAGATTACATAAAGTATTAATACCAGGAATAAAAAGAGGACATCATTTCAAATCCCACAGACATTAAAAAGACAGAAATTTCACCTTTGTTCTTCTCTTTCTGAAAATTTCAGCCCTAAAGCCACTGAGTGGGGCAGAGGAAGGCAGAGGGCTGCACTGATGGTGGCAAAGGAAGCCACAGCGGTGCAGAGCCACATTAGAGCCCAAGGGGGAAGATGTCCAGCCCAGTGTGGTATCTCAGGGCCTGGGCCCCAGTGAGATGACAGAAGGGTGTCCATGTCCATACCAGGGAGTGGAGTCAATCAAACATGCAGTGTCAGAACCCAAGGGCAGGTGAGAAGGGTTTTCAATTCAGAAAGTGACCAGACTGAGGTGTAAAGTAGGGTAAAGACATCACACATACATGGGGGCAGTCCTACAGAGCATGCTGAAGCCCAAGCAGGTAAGAAAGGCCCAGTGAGGGGAGTCAGAGCCTTGGCAGGATAAGGAAGCTCCCCATGGGAGGGCAGCCTGGCCTGGGGCAACAGAGCCCAAACAAGATAAGGAGTGTGTTCGCATTGAGGAAGGAGAGCAACCTAATGTGCAGTCAGAGAATGAGAAGTATCAGAGCTATAGAGCCAGGCGACTGGGGTGGGCTATGAAAATCCAGGAGGGTGAGGAGGGTGCCACACACAGGGGTATCTGGTGAAGTATATCAGAGCCTGAGCAGGGTAAGGTGTGCATCTGCACAGACAGGTGGCCTATCGGGATACTAGAGCCTAAGCAGCATGGGCGGGGTATCCAGTGTGAGGGTGGCCTGGAGTGTGGCGAAGTGGGGTGAAGAGGGCAACTATGTGGAGTAAGGAGGAGTCCTGGACCATGGTACTAAAACTCAGGCAGGAAGTCAGGGCCTAGATAGGACGATGAGGGCACCCAATGTGGGGCAAGCTGACCTCGGATATCAGAGCCCATGCTCAGCTGGTCATGAGGACACCCACAAGTGGGAAAGGCAGCATGAGATATCCAAACTCAAACAGAGTGAAGGGGGCATGTGTGCAGGGAGATGGGAGAACATGTGTGCAGACTGATCAAATAATAAATATATTTAAGGTTAATGGCAGCCAGGTTTCTTACTGATGGAAAAGGGAGTTACAAATATGAAAAAAGAAAAAACTAAAACAAATTCTGTGGTGTTGGATTGGAATTGGACAATCCACATAAACTCATAGTTTAAAAATACATAGATAGAAGTTATTAGTGCAAATGTGCATATATGTGTGCATATATTTGCACATACACCCACACATAAATATTCTAGCTTTGCTCACTGAGGAGATTTGTGACCACCACCACCTCAACAGCAGTGAGTCCACTGAGCGCCTGGGTCTTGGCTTCTAAATCTATTATCCACTAATAGGAACCAGGATTCTTTATAAAGAAATGGCTAATTCCAGGGTGAGGCCAGGTAAAGTACATGATGAGCCTAGAAGAGTCTGTGTATTGAAAGTGAGGAGATGTTCAAAGACTGATGGGGATATGTCAAAAGGACAAATAAATCAGCTTGACAGTGCTCCCACTGACCACTAACCATCTGAGCTCAAAATAAATATAGTAACTGATTATTGCTCACTGAAGAAATGAGAAAACTATGAGTCCATATAGATATAAATAAATATATGAATAAGTGAAAAATTTTTTGAGGAATGGGATATGTACGTAGTTACACAGTATCTTCCCACAAAATACTTTTTTAATTACGAAGGGTACCTTTACAGTGGAGAAACCTGGTAGATACCAGCTTAAACTAGAGATCAAAGTGAACATTATGAGAAACAGGACAAATCAAAATTGTACCCCACCTGATAAAATGCAGTGAGGAATATCTCTAATAAAACAGATAGGATACCTCTATAAAATAACTCCACAATCTGTCAAAATGAATCCATGAAGAAACAGGAAATTATATAATCTTTTATCTATTACAGAAATTGAATCCTTATTTTAAAACCTCCCCAATAAAGAAAATTCCAGGCCCAGAGAGAGCTTCACTGGTGAACTTATTATTTAAAGAAGGGAAAAAATAACAATTTTACACAAAATTTTTCAGGTGATACAAAAAAGAGGGACTACTTATTTTATGAGGCCATAATAACCTTGACATCAGGACCTGAAAAGTATCTTACAAGAAAGAAAAAGTATAAACCAATCTCTCCCGTGAACACAGATACAAAAAATCTATACAAAATTTTAGCAAATCTAACCCAGAGTTATGTAAACAGGGTACCATATCACAATCAACTTGGAATGCAGTTATCCTATACATGCAACATTTAACATTTAAGATGTAACATTTAAGAACTAATCAATCTAATTTATTGCACTGAAAGAACAAATATAAAAAGTAATATGATAATTGTAAAAGACTTACTAAAAGCATTTGATAAAATTCATTATCCATTCATGATAAAATCTCTCAGTGCACTAGGAATAGAAAGCAATTTCCTTTATCTCCTAAAAGGTATCCATGAAAGTCCTAAAGCAAACATCGTATTTAATGGTGAAATGTTGAAAGTTTTACCTCTGAGATCAGGAATGACAAGGATGACTGTTATCACCACTTCTAGTCAACAATGTATTAAAGGTCCTAGCCAGGGCAATAAGGGGAGAAAAAGAAGATGTAAAATGATTGGAAAGAGAAAAATAACAGTCATTAGTCTCAGATGATGATTGTGATGTAGAAAACCCAAAATAATTTAGAGATAATCTACTAAGAGTTGGTAAATTTAGCAAATTCACTGGCAATGTGATCAATATTTTAAAAAATGAATTTCTACACTCGATCAATTAGAAAGCAAAAATTTTAAAAATCTCACATATAATAGCATCAGGTAACATCAAATACCTAAGGATAATGCTAAGAAATGACATTGTTGTTATTTTTCCAGTTCTTGGGTTTATAATTAGAATGTATATTCTTAGCAATTGGTGGAATCCAAACTTTGGCATTCTAGGCAGTGCCTGCATGGTACAGGAAAGGACAGCTGAAAACCAACAGAGCTTCCTTTCTCCAGTAACACGGCATCTCAAAAGAAAGGCAGAGACTAGTCTACCATCGGAGATTAGAGAATTGCAGGTTTGACAAATGCTTTCACTAGTTTGGCTACTGCAAAAATTAGTCGGCTTGAAAAATGATGGCAGATTATCATAAACTTAATTAGAAGATGACTTCAACTGCAGTTGTTGCTCCAGATGGAGTCTTCTTATTGAGCAAATTAAGACAGCTTTGGTATCTGATATGTAGCTTTAACCTACGAATGCTCTTTTCCTTTATATTTATCCAGAAAGAATAAAAGTTAACAGGTTGTCTTCACCTGGCAAGGACAGGAATACATTTACTGACCTGCTTTAAGGAAACAAAGAATTCTTGTTCTATGCCACGATCTGCTCTGCAGAAACCTTGGCTGCCTCAATATTCCATATTACTTTTCCTTGAAGGATCAAGCTTGCTCTGATGACAGCAAGCTATTATGACCAGGAGAGTAGAAGAGTTGAGAGATGAAGTGCCTTGGTTAAGATACACACATGAGACAGAATCGAGAACTAAATCCTACAAAAATACATGGGCTTGCCATGTCAATAATGTTCCCAAGGATCCAGGGATATGATAAGAATATTCCTCCCAAAGTCAAAGAGAATTTATATTCCTTGTCTGTTTCCTAACAAGGAGACAAAAAGCTTTGTTGGCCTCTTTACACTTTGAAATCAGCACATTCTATATTTTAATATATAGCTCTTATCCATTTATAAGGTAAACTAAAAAGCTAATAGCTTTGAGTATCATGCAGAGCAAGGTAAGTCTCTCCAGATGACTGAGGATACAGTAGAGGAGGCTCTACGCCTGACCTTTGAGACCCAGCAAACCAAGTGGCGCTAAAATGTCTGTTGTAAGTAATGGCGCTAAAAAATATCATTGGGAAGCCCTGATGGTAAAATTGCAGTGGAGGCCTATAGATTTTCAAAAATTATCTTCTAGGCCAGGCATGATGACTCCCGTCTATAATCCCAACATTTTAGGAGGCCAAGGTGGGAGGATTGCTTGGGACCAAGAGTTCCAGTCCAGCCTGGGCAACATAGTGAGACTCCGTCTCTACAAAAAATTAAAAATCTGGCCAGGTGCAATGGCTCACACTTGTAATTCCAGAACTTTGGGAGGCCAAGGTGGACTGACAGCTTGTGCCCAGGAGTTCGAGACTAAGCCTGGGCAATGTGGCGAAAGTTCATCTCTACAAAAAATACAAAATTAGCCAGGGGTGGTGACGTGTGTCTATGGTCCCAGCTACTCAGGAGGCTGAGGTGGGAGGATCACTTGAGCCCAGGAGGTCAAGGTAGCAGTGAGCCATGATCACACCACTGCACTCCAGCCTGGGCAACACAGTGAGACCCTGTCTCAAAAAAAAAAAAATTGAAAATTAGCTGAGCATTGTGGCACACACCTGTAACTGCAGCTACTAAAAGACGATCGTTTGAGCCCAGGAGATTGAGGCTGCAGTGAGCTATGATTGTGCCACTACACTCCAACCTGAGCCACAGAGCATGACCCTGTTATAAAATAAATATATAATCTTCTTTTGCACCTTCAGATACATTTTATTAGAAAAAAAAGTTCAGATCATTTTTATGTCACGCCTTGAAAGTCTAATCTTTAATTAATTTATTTTCCTGATGGTTTGAAATAATCCATTACTCGGCTGGGCATGGCGGCTCACGCCTGTATCCCAGCTCTCTGGGAGGCCGAGGTGGGTGGATCACTTGAGGTTAGGAGTTTGAGACCAGCCTGGCCAAGATAGTGAGGCCCTATCTCTACTAAAAATACAAAAAAACCCCAAAAATTAGCTGGGCATGGTGGCACATGCCTACAATCCCAACTACTTGGGAGGGTGAAGTGGGAGGATTTCTTGAACCTGGGAGGTGGAGGTTGCAATCAGGAGAGATCATGCCACTGCACTCCAGCTTGGGTGACTGAGTGAAAATCCGTCTCAAAAAAAGAAAAAAAAAAAAGAAATAACCCATTACTCAAACCAGACTGCACGTATAGCTACCAACTTTCTACCAGTACAATCTTATTCAGTACATCTATTTCTCTAGTGAAAAATCAATTCACTGCCTCTCATTTCTTGACCCTTAGAGCTGTAAAGCAAGACCATACTCACATCAGCAAGTAAAGTGAAAAGCATTTCTGTTTTGAGAAACAGCTCTTGGTCTACTATTAGTATCAAACAGAGGCTATCTGGAAGACCAAGGAACACCAGTTAGCAATGTGGTCCAACCTGTCCAGTATGAAACAGATGACATGTGATCTCCTAGCTATAAAGTTGAGGATGTCCAGCTGCAAACCATCTTTAACAAAAGTTGGCATATATTGGATGATAATTATCAGGCTAAGTAGGCTCTAAGAGATAGGTAGGTCTTATAGTTATGCCTGTTTTCTCTTGCTTATCTACACTCATAGTCTCACGGGGAATACATCATGACTAGCTAACTGAGTAGAAAAATTATATCTAGTGATATACCAACACCAACAGAAGCGAAATGTTCTGGTATTCTAGTACCTTTCAGAGGTGGCCCTGAAAGATAATAGAAAAGGAAAACCTCGGTGGATAGAATTCCTAGTAGTCTCTTCGGTTCTCAACTTTGCTTAGAATAAGGGTTGGTCTCCATTATTTCCTAGCTGCCAATGGTTTGGCTCGATGTATGGACTTGGGAGGAGAAAGACTGGAAGACTGATGTCACCTAGAATGGCTCTATGGCTTGAAAACATTTACGTTTCCAATACAACTTAAAACTCAAATATGCACCAAATATCATGATTTCTAAAATTTAACCCCACATATTCCAAGTTTAACTCTTTCTTAGATGGAAAACACTTTTAAATATTCTAACAACTACATTTACTCAACTGCTTTGCTTTGCTCCTTAAACTGAATTCCTGCTGCTGTCAAATAGAAACTGAAAATCTTAACATTTAACGTTAACTTTTCTCTCTACAAATAGCATCGAGGAATTTCCACAACTGAGCTCAGCATGACTTTTTTCCAAATGAATCTAATTCCTATGCTTAATCATATTCATCTTTAATCAAGACTGTCTAGATGTTTCACTATCATATGCTTGTCAGGTTTTAATTCAAACTTCCTACAAACTATAGTGCTATTATGATTATAGGATTACTATGATATTGTTTATTCTGTTTTGTGAAGTGCTTTGGATACTAGGTAGTTGGGTAGTTCATGATGCTTATGAGGCTGAGGCTATAGTTTTATCTCTCCAACTGTGTTTATTCTATATCACATTAAAAACCACAGACATATCATGTTTTATTGTGCTTTGCTTTATTGTGCTTCAAAGATACAGCAGTTACACTGAAGGTCTGTGGCAACCCTACATCAAGCAAGTCTACTAGTGCCATTTTCCCAACAGCATGTGCTCATTTTTCTAGCAATGAAGTATTAATTAAGGTATGTAAATTGTTTTTGGCATAATACTAGTACACACTTAATATACTACAGTATTGTATAAACATAACACTTATATGTACTAGGAAACCAAAAATATCGTGTTACTTGCTTTATTGCAAAATTTACTTTATTCCAACAGTTTGGAACTGCACCTGCAGTATCTCTCAGGTATGCCTGAACATCCTTAACTATACCCAGAAGCAGACTTAGTCTTGCTCCGGTTCCAGGGACAAAATGTTTTGTTCATATCATATAGTATTATAGTTCTTCAGAGCCGGTTCTATACTCTTTAAAGGTATACACATTACTTTCAAGACGATATCCTAAATGTTTTTTAGCATGCACTAAGAAAAGTCTCAGACATCCAGCTCCTGCTCCAGCTTTATCTCTCAGCCTCTCCTTCTCAGAATACTTATACCCCTCAATCCAGTCACAGCCGTACACTGGCAATTTCCTCAATGCGCTATGGTCTTTTATGCTCTCTTTGGTACATGCCCTTCCCTTGGCCTGTGATATCCTTCACTTCCTCCTCCTTTTTACTTGGGTAAGTTCACATATTATCCTGCAAGAATCAGCTTAGTTGTTACCTCTTTGAAGAATTTCAAAGATTCACTCTCTCCTATCCTTCCCAGTTGCATTTGTCACCCCATCCCCAAACATAACCACGCTCTCCCCAAACACATCCATCTATGCATGCATGTTGGGTTAAGTGGTCCTAAGTACTTATTTCTACAGCACACGTTGCTTCCATCATTTACAATGTATTGCACTATGTTAACATTTAACATTAACTTTTCTATCTCTGTTTAGATGTTAATGTGAGCTTCCTGAAAGAGCAGAAACTGTCTCTTATCTTTGTACCTGCAGTGCCCAGCAACTTGCTTGAAATGCAGTTGCTACATCACAATTTTTAAACAGTTTGTTGAATAAAGGGCAAAATAATTGTTGCAGAGGTATTCAATGTGACCCAACCATGACTGGCAGGGCAGTGAAACCTCTGGGTTCCCATGTCATGAACTCACACTATATTTTCTGTTGTAACATTAAGAAAATAAAGAGTACGTGATATCAAGAGGTGTGACTATTCAGTTATAAAACTCTTCCAACTGAAACATGTCACAGAAATACCAGGCTGTTAGAAAAAAGCCAAGAAAACAATTATTTTAAAAATTTCCTTCTAATCTGACTACATGATATTATGACTCTAAATTATGATTCTGAAAATGACTTCAGATTTCTTTTAGGGGACACTGGAGGGTGTTTTATTCACAAAATTGCCTAAACAATTAAATGAAATGACAAGTGTTCCTGCTAAAAGGCTGATCTGGTTTAAAATATACAGAGTAGATATTTCAAATCCATTGCTTTAAATTCACTGAATTATCCTAAATAATGCAGCAATTTTTGAGGACAAAATTAAAAAGATAATTGGTATTCCTCAGAAAACTTCACAAAACCAAACTAGATAAATCTAGAATTAAATTTAACAATATATATTTTATCACCTTTAAAATACTATGAGGACAACTCAATATCAACAAAGACCAGAATTTCTTTTTACTTTGTTCAACTATACTGAAACTAAAAGACTCTTGATAAATAATTCCCTATTAAATTTTGAAAGGAAGATTGTCCAAAATTACAATGTTAATTTCAATCAATATTTTTGGAGACTGCCAGATTCCATTTTGGTTTTCCCTCCTTGCATTGCAGCCTCAAAATTGTCTCTAAGTAATAAGCTGGGGTCTTCATAGGTATTTCCTCATTCGTTTGCTTTCTCTCATGGATCATATCCCTGCCCTGCCTACTGTCCAATGACTCAAAATAGTTTTTTCTTACATTTTTTTTTCCAGTGTTCTAATTATTTCTGGCAGGAAAGCAAGTCCTTTAGCAGCTACTCCTTCATGGGCTGAGGTAAAAATTCTAAGTCCTCTAATTTTAAACAAAATAGGAATAAGCTAGATATGCATTCTCAACTCGGACAATGTCACGCCCAAATGAGCCACAAGTGGTTTTTGGAGTGATGGCAAAAATATCTTCACTATTACGTTTTATGGGTTACCAAAACACAACCCTACCTGACAAAAAACTTATTCCTTTGTATTTATCTTCTCATTAGGTAGAATTTTTTTTAAGACTTAGTGGGTACATATGCAGGTTTGTCACATGGATATAACGGTAACAATTATAGTTATATAATTGTTATATTGTGTGATGGTGAGGTTTGGGCTTCTATTGAACCCATCCCACAAATAGTGAACATAGTACCCTATTATATAGAGATTATTTTCAAATTAATTAATTTATTGATTTATTTAAATTAAATTGAAATGATCTCTGTAGGGGAGCAATGATGAAAAAAGGCTGAGAAACACCGACCTAGATAGTTTTACAAGGCATCTACTCAGGCTAAAAAAAAACAATGATTAAAAAATTGTTACAATACTATAGCTTTAAAGGATTCATACATGCTGGGCGCAGAGGCTCACACCTATAATCCCAGCACTTAGAGGCCAGGACGGGCTGATCGCTTGAGCTCATGTGTCCAAGACTAGCCTGGGAAACACGGTGAAAACTCGTTTCTACAAAAAGATTGAAAAAAAAAAATAGCCAGGCATGGTGGCACATAACCCTGTAGTCCCAGTTACTGGGGAAGCTGAGGTGGGAGAATCACTTGAGCCTGAGAAGTCGAGGCTACAGTGAGCCATGATAACATCAGTGCACTCCAGCCTGGGCGACAGGGTAAGACCCTGTCTCAAAAAAAAAAAAAATTCATACGTATATCATATTATTCATAGACGGTCAATGAAAATTTTTTCTAACATGCTTGATATTTCTAGAGTCCACACTAGGGTAACATGTTTTCATGACTTTTTTGTCCTTCAATGTACACTCTAGACCTGTGAATTTCAAACTCTTGAACCAGAACCCACACCATAAATACATTTTAAAAGTATATGTCTTAAATTATGGGGGGAAAAGAGTCATTAAGTAATATTCTTAGTATGTGCAATAACCATATTTTATAAGAAATACAATTTGTTTTTCCTAAATATTTGTCATGGCACATCACTTTTTTAGTGTTTGTCAAGACCTACTAAACTGATTTCATGATCCACATGCAGTTATCAAATCACTGTACCAACCCTGTCAGGCCATTTACAGTTCCCTGAAATAGATGCATTTTTTTTTTTTTTTTTTTTTTTTTTTTTGAGACGGAGTCTCGCTCTGTCGCCCAGGCTGGAGTGCAGTGGCGTGATCTCAGCTCACTGCAAGCTCTGCCTCCCGGGTTCACGCCATTCTCCTGCCTCAGCCTCCCGAGTAGCTGGGACTACAGGCGCCCGCTACCACGCCCGGCTAATTTTTTGTATTTTTAGTAGAGACGGGGTTTCACCGTGTTAGCCAGGATGGTCTCGATCTCTTGACCTCGTGATCCGCCCGCCTCGGCCTCCCAAAGTGCTGGGATTACAGGCGTGAGCCACCGCGCCCGGCCTAGATGCATATTTTTATGCTTCAGTGGTGTTTGCTATAATGTTGTTTCCAACATCAACATGGAGATATCCTTTGTTTTCAATGTCCAAGACTTCAGTTCTAGTATAAAACCTTTTCTGGTCTGTTTAACAATCCCTTCCTTTGTGGCACCATTCTGCATCTAGTTTCCATAGCACTTAACACAGTATTTAATTCTTTATTTAAAAAAATTTCCCCCAAATCACAGTCAGATACCACTTTATACCCCATTAAAATATCTATGATAAGAATATAGACAATAGTAAGTATCGGTAGGTATGAAAAAACAGGAATTTTCATAAATTGCAGATAGAAACGTACAATGGTACAATCATTTCAAAAAACAGTTATCAAAATTGTAAAAACAGAGTTACAATATGACCCTGCAATTTGACTTGTACATTTGTATTTACTCAAAGGAGATAAAAACATGTATCCACACAACGATTTTTTGTACATATATTCACATCAGCATTACTCATATAGTAGCCAAAAGGTAGAAAGAACCCAAGTGACCATCAAGTGATGAACGATAAACAAAATGTGGTACATCTATACAATTTAATACTATTTGGCAATTGATATGGTTTGGATATTTGCCCCCACCTAATCTCATGCTGAGATATAATCCCCAATGTTGGAGGTGGGGCCTGGTGGCAAGCGTTTGGGTGATGGGGTGGATCCCTCACGGCTCGGGGCTGTCTTTGTCACAGTGAGTGAGTACTCCTGAGACCTGGTTGTTTTAAGTGTGTGGCATCTCCCCCCCACCGACTCTCTCTTGCTCCTGCTTTCACCATGTGAAGTGCTGGTTCCCACTTTGCCTTCCACCATGGGTAAAAGCTCCCTGAAGCCTCCCCAGAAGCCGAGAAGATGCTGGCATCATGCTTATTGGAACTGCAGAACTGTAAGGTAATTAAACCTCATTTCTTTATAAATTACCCAGTCTCAGGTATTTCCTTATGGTAACACTAGAATGGCCTAACACAGCAATAAAAAGGAATTCTACAATAAGGAAGAACCTTCAAAACACTATGCTAAGTGAAAGAAACCAGTAACAAAAAGCCACTGATATGGTTTGGCTGTGTCCCCACCCAAATCTCATGTTGAATTGTAATCCCCATTGTTGGAGAAGGCACCTGGTGGGAGGTGATTGAGTCATGTGGGTGGAGTTCTCATGAATGAGTTGGCACATTCCCCTTGGTGCTGTTCTCGTGATAGTGAGTGAGTTATCATGAGATTTGGCTGTTTAAACGTGTGTAGCACTTGCCCACTCTCTCTCTTCCTCCTGCTCCAGCCATGTGAAGCGCTGGCTCCCCATTTTTCTTCTGCCATGATTCTAAGTTTGCTGAGGCCTCCCCAGAAGCAGAAGCTGCTATACTTCCTGTACAGAACCATGAGCCAATTAAACCTCTTTTCTTTATAAACAGCCTAGTCTTGGGTATTTCTTTATAGCATCGTGAGAATGGACTAATACAGCCACCTTTTGTATTGTTCCATTTATATGAAAGGCGAGGAACAGGCAAATATAAAGAGACAGAAAGTAGATGAGTAGTAGTTACTTAGATGCTGGTGCTGGGGAGTGACTGCTCATGGGTACAAGATTTATTTTTTGTGTGATGAGAATGTTCTAAAATTAAATTATTGTGATGGTTGTAAAACTCTTGAATTATATACTGTGAGTGAATTTTTTGATATGATACTGCTCATATCAAGTCATTCAGGAGTATACACCATGGCATCTATATTAGTAAGAGCACCTTAAATTTCAGCTTTTTTGGGGTTCCACCTAGTAATCAATATTAATCATGACCCAAAATTATCATCAAAGATTCAATTAAGTCAAGTATCTCAATAAAACTCTCCTACTTGTCTCTGAGATTCTAAGTGGAGAAAATGGCTCTTACTATTCCCAAAGTCTACAGAGTAATATCTCAATGGATAAATGAAGTAGCAAATCTGTGTTAGTTGGAGGCAACATAAAACCAGTAAGATAGAATGCTGCCATCAAAAAGTTTAAAGTTGTTTGCTTAAGGGATAAGCCTATGGGAAAGAAAATTATATAAAACATAATACTTAATATTTAAAAAATACACCCATCATGCAGGTACTATTTAACACAAATTTAAGTCCCTATTAATAGCAAAGATATACCTTTGGTAACAGAAAATCTATACAAGGGAACTACTGATACGGAAGGAGGGCAGGGAAGTGCTGGGAAGGGAAAGGCAGGTCCCTGGTAAGGGCTCTACCCCCGCAGGCCTGTGCCCACAGACCTAGGTGAGGACAGGTACTCCTGTCTTTGCGCCCAAATGTTGCATTTCCTAAGACCACCCTGGCCAGCCACGCCCCCATCCTGTGCCTATAAAAATCCTCAAGACCGGCCAGGCACGGTGGCTCATGCCTGTAATTCCAGCACTTTGGGAGGCCGAGGCAGGCGGATCACGAGGTCAGGAGTTGGAGACCATCCTGGCCAACATGGTGAAACCCCGTCTCTACTAAAAATACAAAAATTAGCCGGGCGTGGTGGCACGCACCTGTAATCCCAGCTACTCAGGAGGCTGAGGCAGGAGAATCACTTGAACCCAGGAGGTGGAGGTTGCAGTGAGCTGAGATTGTGCCATTGCACTTCTCAACAGAGGGAGACTCTGTCTCAAAAAAAAAAAAAAAAACAAACCCTCGAGACCCTAGCAGGCAGGCACACAAGTGGCTAGACGTCAAGAAGAACACATCAGCAGAAGACACAAACAGCTGGACAGCGAGAGGACATCGAGGGGAGCACGCCAGCGGAAGACCAGCAGAAGAGCACACGTCAGCTGGCACGCCCACAGGCCATCGACTGGCTGGATAAGGCCAAGTTTGGCTGGACGAGGCCAAGTTTGGCTGGGGTAGTCAGAGGAGAGCCCGGGCCGCTGAGCGGTCGGACTCCAGGGGAAAACCATCTCCCTTCTGGCTATCCCATCTGCTGAGAGCTACTTGCGCTCAATAAAACCTTGTACTCATTCTCCAAGCCCACGTGTAATCTGATTCTTCCAGTACACTAAGGCAAGAACCCTGGGATACAGAAAGCTCTCTGTCCTTGCGATAAGGCAGGGGTCTAATTGAGCTGACTAACACAAGCCGCCTATGGATGGCTAAACTAAAAGAGCACCCTGTAACACATGCCCACTGGGGCTTCAGTTGTAAACATTCATCTCTAGACACTGCCATGGGGTCAGAGCCCCACAGCCTGCCAGTCTGTATGCTCCCCTAGAGGTTTGAGTAGCGGGGCACTGAAGAAGCAATCCACACCACCATCACACGCCCTGAGAGGGGGACAAGGGAACTTTTCCCATTTCACTATTATGGAGAGTTGGGAAAAAATGTATTGCTTTCTGAGGGCATTTTCTTCCGACAGTAAAGAATTTACAGAATTGGGACTGTAGTCACCTGAGAACATCCTAACAGAAATTTTTTTACAGAGTGAAGTATACCTCTTCCAACATTATTAATAAACAATGTAAATTTTAGGGCAGCAGTTGGGTGACAGAGTGCCTATGTTTGTATCAATACCTTATGCTCATATAATAATTTATGGTCTATACAGTACTTAACAGGAGCTAAGAATGTGGGTTTTGGTATTAGACTACCTGGTTCTAATTCTACCTCTTCCATTCACTAGCTATGTGACTGTGGACAACTTATTTACATCTCTGATGATTTTATTTGCTCATCTGTAAATCAGGAATTGTAATAGCATCAACCTTATTGTAATTTTTGAAGATTAACTCAGTTAATGTTTTAAGTGCTTTGCGCAGTGCTTCATAGTGTCGGTAAATTTAGTTGTTATTATAGTGATCATATTAGCATTAATCAATACAGTAACCCCCTGAGGTAGGTGAGGCTCAGAAAGGATAGATAAATTAGATTTGTATTTTTCATTTTTTATTTAGTGTTCTTGAGAAAAGGCCATGGAACTTCTAAATTTGTTTTCAGATTAATTTTGGACACAGTCTACCCTGTTAAACCATAAAAAATGTTATGTTTTTACATCTGAGTTTTTATTAAACTCAATCAACAACTTGAAATAATAAATTTCATCTGTTTTCTTGATATACCAAATTAAAGCTTTGTGATAGTATATGCAAATAACATACCATAATTGATACTATAACACATACCAAAGATTTTATTTTAGATTCAGCTTAAGGCCTGTTGAATGTGTATATACATAGAGACAGAATACATTTTTTGTTGTGTATAAATTGGTGATTTGTTTTTATATTTGTTTTATGAAGTAGAAAAGAACAAATGATTTTAGAAAGACAAAAAAAAACAAAAACAAAAACCCAAAACATAACTCCATTCTGGCCTGTAAAACATACATGGACTATATTGGATGATGTTAACAGTACAGTTTGTTGGGGAGTATATATCAATAAAGGCAAGAATGAGAACTAATTAGCTTTTACTTATGACATAAATTGGGGATGTGATATCAATTCTTTGAAGATAAAACAATAAGGAAGTTTCACTCCCATTTTGTGTTAAAAGACTTCAGGCATTCTGAGGATTTTTTTTATTTTTTCATTTTTATAATACCAAATAACCAGACACTTCAAAAATAGATGGTTGAAATAGTAGCAATTTAGGATTATGAAGCAGTTAAGTGCTTCACAATGTTGATGTAATACAGCAATTATAGACCTTTGTAATTCAGCTAAAATGCTTTGTTTTCTTGTTATTCATATTGAAACTACACAGTAAGAATACCTCCTTATTTTCAAAGGAAAGGGCTTACATTTTAAAAAATCTTTGCATTAATGTTTTGACCATTGTTATGAACTTACCATTGAAATTTATTATTTTGTAACTAAAAATAAAATGAAATACTAAGGGGGAAAAGGTTGTATAATGTTAGAATTTTGATTAGCAATCACAGCTGCACCAGAATTAGTTTCTATAGCAACAGGAAGAAATAATGTGTTGAATTGCAATGCAATACAAGATTTTTTTTTTTTTTTTTACAGATTGCAATTCAAAAGGAAATCTTTAAAGAATTTTGTCTTAAAAGAGTTATTAATCTTTTATCCATCATAATTCTCTAATGGAAAATACTTAATTATTCTTGTCTACTTTTCCTGAATCCTGTTTTGCTAATTTAAATTTAGTATGTCCCAAAAAATACAGAAAATTTAATATACCTGAACAATAAGAATTTTAACTACTGTATCATTTGCATTTTAAAACAAAAATGCATGGAATAATATTCTGTATGTTATTTAGACAGAAAGTAAATCTCAGGGGTAGTTTAGAACCTACAAGGAAAAGTCTTAAGAAGTGCTTTTCTGAATAAACTATGTTGTAGGACTAAGAATTAAAAATGATAAGCAAATACTATATTTGTATCAGTATGAAACTAAGTCTTCTCTTTTATGAATGTGTACTCCTGTACTCCCATGTCCAAATTGTGATTAAGAAACTGCACTACTATGAGTATTCAGAATGTACATCTCCCTTACTTTAGTAGAAAAATATAATACTATGGGCAGCATTTAAAATTTAACACTGCCCATACTATTTCTAACAGTGAAAAATATTTCACTGCATCCTCTCCAGCTCTATTTTTGGCAACTAATTAAAAGCATATGCCTGAACCTTTTATGTATTTTACCCTTATAATGAGATCTATTACTATGGCTCACTCTATGCCTCTGAGTTCCAAAGTATCTTTGGAGTTACCATGGATACCAGTGACAAGTATTCTCCCATAACTGCTCTGTGTCTCATCAAACACAAGAAAACTGACATGGCAGGAATCAAGGCATCAAGACATTATGAATCTCTAATTGTTTATATCACTGTTCATGCTTTTAAAAAATAGTATATATATATATATATATCTTTAATTAACCAGCTAATCAGCTAATTATTTTAAAAAATCTGAATAGACATCAAATTATTGAATAGAAAATGAGTTATTTTTAAAAAGGTATAAACATTAAAATAAGCCAATATGACAATCTGTGATTCAAAGTAAAACCTGAATCTGAAAGTAAACTTGAGTTTTGAGTTCTTCAGTAATAAAAACTTCTAATTATATGAAAGACAATATCTCATAGGAACATTCATATTATATAGCCCATAATAAAAAATTTCAAAAGAGGTCATTTGTGAGAATATGCAGATTGTTCAAGGTTAAGTGTTAACTTGTAATAAAAACATCACTGCAAAATGGAATCGAAGCTTTTTTTATCAGTAAAATTATTCGGATTATGTCAGAAATCATCTCATTCTACCCCTACTTTCTTCTTTCTTAGTGTAGCAACCAAATCTTTCTTCACTATTTAATATCTTCTACTACATATGAGATCTTTTTAAAAAATCAGGAATTGAATATCAAACTCAGCTCCTACAAAAAATATTTTTCAACAACTCCTTTTGTGACTTATCCTTTTAAAAATAGCATAAATATGTATGAAGCAGTTAGGCAGACTTCTTGTCAGAGAGATACAATTCTGCTTTTTAAGACACATGTACCCACATAAATAATAAGAAACTTCACATGACATAACAATTCACAGGAATTATATTATTCAATGTGGCTAGGCAAGTCCTTTTAGTGAATGTTTAGTTATTTTAAATTTTATGATTAAGATATGTATTACAATGTAGAAACACATATTACTCCTTCTATAAGGACTTGTGACTTAGAGATCATAGAGTGAATAAACATAAATATTTTTATCTAATATATAAATATACTACTTACTAAAGGAAAGCTCTTTAATTTACAAGCAATACATATATATACAAATTCAGTCTGATGCAGTGAATTTCACAGAGGTTCCAACTCAACACTCACAATGCCTCAATTTTTCCATCTGTAGAGGGGGAAGGCATCTTTTGTTGTTTTGGAAAGATTATGAAATGTTTCTAAGTAGAAACCATAAAAATAGTAAAAAATGGTATTACTAGGCTTATATGAGAATCAGTTGAAGGAAAAATATTACAATACATGTCTGAAGTTTTTATCAAGACTCACAGTGAATGTTTAGTCTGTTTTTCCTCATCACAAAGGACTGTAGCAAAAGTCTAGCCAAAAAAAAAAAAAAAAAAAAAAAATTATACCCAACTATCTTTGTTGAATTGAGCTGACTAGCAGAGAAAATGTATCCACCTAAATCAGCTTCTCTCATGACTGCTACTGGAGACAATCCCATGTTCTGTTAAGAGTGGTTTGGAGAAAAGCAGACGACCCTATACCAAGAAACACTCAGCTGATTTCAGTGTGCCTCTTCTGTGCCCACATACAACAAAGCGCAAGCCACTTAAAACTCCAAGTGTACCTGTCTTTCCCAGTAAATGGTAAACAACGGGCATTTGTTTTAAGACCTATTTTGTGCCAGGCATTATGCAAGTTACTAAACTCCATAGGCCTTGAGAAGAAAGCCTAATTTGTCAAGCTTTTATAACAGGGAAAGGGAAAATCAATAAAGAACACTGAACAGGGAGAGCAGAAACCTGAGTTTGAACCCATGGTCTGCTACTAAAAAGCAAAGTGAGTATTTAAACTCTCTGGGCTTTTGTCCATAAACTGCTAAGATCTGTGTAATTTTAACTACAATGAATCCATAACATTTAACAGTTCCATTTTGAAAGTGGAATAGAATAAGGGATTAATTTTCTAAAAGTGAAAACTGCTATTGCTGCAATGGATTATAAAAGGGAACTAGAGAACCTCATTTCTTGAAAGTCTAGATACTCTAACAGAGTTTTACCTTTTCATATTTGAGATCCAGGCCTTCCTGCAAGACTACATAAGCTCCCAAGATCCTTAAATGTATGGTGACGGCACAGTCGGGGAGGAGATGGAGAGCGGAACGAGAGAAGTTGTATGCAAAGGTTAAAACATGAAAAGAATAAAAACATTTTTTCCTCCTCAGAATAAAATGTTTATGCTAAGTGATGTTTAAGTGACCACTATATTTTGCAGACATTTTACATTAATATGCTAGGATCTCATTAGTAAACTCAACTTTAATGTGAATAATGTTTTGCTTCAATGTTTCTAAATTCCTAAAGCTGTTCATAATGTGATCTTTCCTGAGGTTATTTCCAGAGAGAGATGCCATCAAATGCAGAAACCATCAAAAAATTTTGCACACTATCACGTTCCTGAAAGTCACATCATGACAAAGGCAAAAACAAAAAAAAAGGTATAACAGAGAGAAAAAAAAGCATAGAAAAAGTGGGGTAAATGTAAGAAAATAATATAGCAAAAACACGTTCAAATAAGAATAATTATAAAAAGTACTGCGATAAATACATAGGAAGTAAATGTTTACAATATACACTTATAATTAAGAATAAAGGTTGAATATTAAAGAATAAAAAAGATAACTTAACAAATACCAATTTTTAAAAGCTGTGTAAGCACATTATAACAAATAAAATAGTTTTTGAGCCCTCTCTGAAGAGACATAAATATAAATACATAAAGAAGGTTATTACCACAAAATGATATATGGGACAATCCACCAGAAAGATGAATTTGTAAACATGTAAGTCCCTTATAACACAATGTTAAAATAATTTAAGAAAAACAGACAGAATTCCAAGGAAAAAGCTGACAAAATCTACAATCATAGTGGAAGATATTACATATCTCTCCTACTGATTAAAAGGCAAAGCAGAAAGAATATTTAGGAAAGATACAGCAGATGAGTTGAACTCAATAAGCTCAACTAAAAGACATTCACTGAAACTTATAACGAAGAATTAGAGAATGCATACTCTTTTGTTGGATACAATAGATATTAATCCCCTTGACACACACATACACAAATACACCAGCCGCATAAAGCAAGTCTTAACAAATAGGAAAAGTTGAATTGCATAGATTTTGATAGCTGATCACAACACACTTAACTTAGAACTCAGAAACAAGAAGAGATTTCTTTTAGCTTAAATATTTGGAATTTTATATCCAAACCCAGCAACTGAAAAAAATCATAACAGCAATTAGAAAAATTATAAAAACAAATAAAAATGAAGATATTGCATATTAAAATGTGTTGGATACAACTGAAATGGTATTTTAAAAGGAATGTATAGCCTTAAATCCACATGTTAGAAACCAAAAAAGACTGAAAAACAATGAAGTAAGCATCCAGCTCAAGAAGTTAAAGTATAAATCTAAGTAAAAGAAAAATGAAAGTAGATAGAATAAAATTTTTAAAAAACCAATTCTATAGAGAGGATTAACAAAACCAAAATGTTTCCTTGAAATAATTAAAGAATTATTTTTTAAAAACCCTGAAAGAATTAAGTAAACAAAAGAATGCTATTAACAACTTTACAATCATAATTCTGAAAAATGTATACAATAAAAAATTTTTGGAAAAATATAATTTACCAAAACTGACTCATGAAGAAATAGAGAATCCAATGACACCTACATTAAAGTATTAAATCAATAAAAATCTATCTATAAAAAAACTCGTAAGATACAAGTGATTTCATAGGTTGATTCTACCAAACAGAGAACAGATACTCTTAATCTCGTATAATGGTCTAGAGAAATGAAAAAAAGCAAATAATCCAAAACTTGCTTTACAATTTTGTAAAACCTTGATCCTAAGACTCAAACAAAGATAGCAAGAGAAGAAATAGTGTATAGTAAGCTTCTCTGGGAAACCCCTTTATAAAGGGAACACAAGAGGTAATCAAAAGACAGCATGACAAATTGGGTTTTATTTCAGAAACACAAGGTTAGTTTAGCAAAGGGATATCTTTTAATGTAATTCACAACATGAACAGATTAAAAGATAAAATCCATGTGATTTCCAAAGATTAGAAAGAGAAAATAATAAAATTAAACATCAATTAATGATTATCATTTTAGCAAACTAGGAACAAAAGGGAATTTCCTTAATTCAATAAGAGGTATCTTCCAAATAACCAGAGCAAACATCATAAAAGGCAAACATTAGAAGCATTCTCTTTAAAACAGAAACAAGAGGCATATTCACTGGTATTAAACATTGTATGTGAGTTCCTAGCCAGAGCTAGAGGTAAATTATTAGAATTTATTAGAAATAATGAACAAGATTGTTGAACAAGATACCTTTCCTAATAATTTGCCTGTAGAATCTCTTTCCTCTTCTAGATAAGACAACCATATCATTTCCAAGCAATTCCTGTTTTATTTCTTCCTTTTCAATCTTTACATCTCACATTTCTATATTATCAGCTTTTCCTAGGAACTCCACAAAAATGTGAAATACCACCTATCAGATTGCCAAAAATGCAAAAATCTAGCAAATGTAAGCATTGATGAGGACATAAAAGATCAGTAAGAAGGCTGTTAATGGGAGGGTAAATTTTAAAAATACGTTTAAGATGCATAAATACCAAATTCTAGAATATGGTGATATATAGAGAGAGGTCTTCAAATCTATATAATGTTTCAAGTCCTAAAAAAGTTCTCAGAATATAGTAATATGAAATTCTAACGCATGACACAACATGAATAAAACATCTGAAAACTGAAAAACATCGTTGAAAGAAATTAAAGAAGACTTGAATAACTGGACAAACATCTCATGTTCATGAATTAGAAGACTTAATATTAAGATGGCAATATCCTCCAAAGTAATCTACAGATTCAACACAATCTCCATAAGGATCTCAGACGAATTCTTTGTAAAAATTGTCAAGTTGATTCTAAAATCCATACGGAATTGCAAGGATAACCAGAATAGCTAAAACAATAAAGAAAAAGAAGAATACAGTAGGAAGACTCACACTTTATGATTTCAAGCTTAGTAAAAGCAACTGTAATCAAGAGAGTGTGGTACTGGCAAGAGGACAGACACGTAGATCAATGACATATACTTGACAGTCCAGAAACAAAACCATATGTGTATGGTCAACTGATAAGGGTGCCAAGGCCATTCAATGGGGAAAGAACAGTCTTCAACAAATGGTGCTAAGTGGTTATTCACATGCAAAAGAATGAAATTAGACCCTTATCTTATACTATATATAGAAATTAACTCAAAATTAAATACCTAAATATAAGAGCTTAAAGTATAAAACTCTTGGAAGAAAATGAAAAATTTTTTATGACACTGGTTTTGGGAATTATTTCTTGGATACAACTAACAAAACACAGGCAACAAAAGGACCAAGAGATAAATTGAAATTCATCAAACACTTTTCATTGAGCACTGTATTAGTCCGTTCTCACGCTGCTAATAAAGACATACCTACAAAAGCCAAAATTGACAAATGGGATCTAATTAAACTAAAAAGCTTCTGCACAGCAAAAGAAATTACCATCAGAGTGAACAGGCAACCTACAGAATGGGAGAACATTTTTGCAACCTACTCATCTGACAACGGGCTAACATCCGGAATACAATGAACTCAAACAAATTTACAAGAAAAAAACAAACAACCCCATCAAAAAGTGAGCGAAGGATATGAACAGACACTTCTCAAAAGAAGACATTTATGCAGCCAACAGATACATGAAAAAATGCTCATCATCACTGGCCATCAGAGAAATGCAAATCAAAACCACAATGAGATAGCATCTCACACCAGTTAGAATGGCAATCATTAAAAAGTCAGGAAACAACAGGTGCTGGAGAAGGTGTGGAGAAATAGGAACACTTTTACACTGTTGGTGGGACTGTAAACTAGTTCAACCATTGTGGAAGTCAGTGTGGCGATTCCTCAGGGATCTAGAACTAGAAATACCATTTGACCCAGCCATCCCATTACTGGGTATATACCCAAAGGATTATAAATCATGCTGCTATAAAGACACATGCACAGGTATATTTATTGCGGCACTATTCACAATAGCAAAGACTTGGAACCAACCCAAATGTCCAACAATGATAGACTGGATTAAGAAAATGTGGCACATATACACCATGGAATACTATGCAGCCATAAAAAATGATGAGTTCATGTCCTTTGTAGGGACATGGATGAAGCTGGAAACCATCATTCTCAGCAAACTATCACAAGGACAAAAAACCAAACGCCACACGTTCTCACTCATAGGTGGGAATTGAACAATGAGAACACATGGACACAGGAAGGGGAACATCACACACCGGGGACTGTTGTGGGGTGGGGGGAAGGGGGAGGGAAAGCATTAGGAGATATACCTAATGCTAAATGACGAGTTAATGGGTGCAGCACACCAACATGGCACATGTATACATATGTAACAAACCTGCACGTTGTGCACATGTACCCTAAAACTTAAATAATAATAAAATTAAATTTAAAAAAGTATTTCAAATGTATATTTACATACATTTCATTGAAAATGAAAAGTTAAGTAAATATTAAAAATTATTTTCATGTTTTCAAAAAAGTTGCCTTTTAAAATATTCAAAATTATTTTTTAAAAGACAAAATATAATTGTCTCAATTTTAAATAAAAATTTAAATAAAACTTAAAAAAAAAAGACATACCTGAGACTGGGTAATTTATAAAGGAAAGAGGTTTAACTGACTCACAGTTCAGCACAGCTGGGGAGGCCTCAGGAAACTCACAAACATGGCAGAAGGTGGAAGCAAACACATCCTTCTTCACATGGCAGCAGCAAGAAGTGCCAAACAAAAGGGAGAAAAGCCCCTTATAAAACCATCAGATCTCATGAGAACTCATTCAGTATCACAAGAACAGCATGAGAGGTAACCGCCCCCATGATTAAATTACCTCCCACTGGGTTCCTCCCATGACATGTGGGGATTACAGGAACTACAATTCAAGATGAGATTTGGGTGGGGACAAAGCGAAACCATAGCAAGCACTTTTGTGCATCAAAGCACACTACCAAGAAAAGATAGTCCACAGAATGGAAGAAAATATGAAACAACTCAAAACAACCCAATTCAAAACTGGGCAAAGGACTTGAATATACATTTCTCAGAAGAAGATAGACAAGTGGCTAGTAAGCACATGAAAAGACGCCTAACACCATTAGTCATTAAGGAAATGCAAATCAAAACCATAATGAGATACTAGTTTATACCCACTAGAATGGCTACCATTAAAAACAAAACTAAGCAAGGAATAACAAGTGTTGGCGAGGGTGTGGAGGAATTGGAACCCTCATGCATTGCTGGTGGAGTGTAAAAGGGTTCAGCCATCGTAGAAAACAGTTTGGCAGTTCTGAGGAAAGTTAAACATAGAATTAGCATGTGACCCTACAATTCTATTCCTAGGTATACACCCAAAATAACTGAAAGCAGCAACTCAATCAGACACTTGCACATCAGTGTTTATAGTAGTATTATTCACAATAGCCAAAAGGTAGAAGCAACTCAAGAATCCATCAGAGGATGAATGGATAGGCAAAATGTGGTATATACATACAGCAGAATATTATTCAGCCACAAAAAGAAATAATACCTGGTACAATATGGATGAACCTTGGAGACATTATGCTAAATGAAATAAACCAAACACAGAAGGACAAATATTGTATGATTCCATTTACATCAGTTATTTGTAACATATAAATTCATAGAGACAGAAGATAGAATAGTGGTTACCAAGGACTAAGGGGTAGAGGAAATGAGTTATTTTTTAATAGGCAGAGTTTCTATTTGGGAAGATAAAAAAGTTCTGGAAATAGTTAATAGTGATGGTTGCATAACATTGTGAATGTGCTTAGTGTCAAAGACCTGCATACTTTAAAGATGGTAAATTTTATTTTACATATTTTACCAAAATTAAAAGAAATAAATAACAGATTTTTAAAAGGATGAAATTCTGATACATGCCATAACATGAATGAACTTTGAAAACTTTATGCTAAGTGAAATAAATCAGACACAAAAAGGCATATATTATGATTTAAGTTATATGCAGTCCCACTTATACAAGATAAATTGTATGCTGCGTATATATTTTACCACAGTGAAAAACTAAATAGAAAAAATTCACTAGTGTGGGATAACTAAAAGTCAGCTTTCAAATGATTTGGAAAAATGGATCGTGAAAATATGAAAGCATTGTCAGCTAGCCTTCTAAAGAGATTTATAAGAAACGGAAAGAGGGTGTTAAAAGGACTTTAAAAGATTAGAAGGCTGTTATATCTCAAGTTGATTTTTAAAAAAATACTAAAAAAAATTAAGATTAGAGGGAGGGTACTCTTCATATAGGGAAACCTAGGAGTGTTTAAGAATGGAAGAATGTGAATCATGGAGAAAAAAGAAGTCCATCACACAATAAAAAAGAATAAGTGATTACTAATAACCAATTCCAGCTGTGGCCAAATGAAGACAGCAGTTAAGGCATAAGAGAAGTATCTGGCCTCTAGAATACAACGTAGAAATGATGGATAAAAACATAAGAATATTTTGAAATGGAAAGGAAGGGCATCAAAAAACTTCACAACGGTAATTAAAATCTGCATTAAAAGTAATCAAGAAACACTCAACATAAACTCAATGTGATCTCATTCAAAATTGCACCAGAATTATTCTAAAAGTTCAGCTGAAAAAATTATTGAATAAGAATAACCATAAAAGATTTGACAAGGAATATGATGTTACAGCATTAGACACTGTCATAGAGAAATTAATTGGAACACAATAAAGTTCAGAAATAGATACAAGTCCAAAAAGGAATTTAATATAGGATAAAAGCAGTATTTCAAATCAGTGATTAATAAATTAGATTTTCCAGCAATAACATAGTGATAAATGGCAGCAATTTGGAAAAGAAGAATGCTAGATCTCCACTTCAGTTCTTGCAACAAAAATCAAAGCTAGCTCAAAGATTTACAGGTAAAAAAGATGAACCCATAAAAATACTAGAAGAAAACATGAACAAAATTTTCCAAATCTCAAAACAGGAAAGGTCTTTCTGAACGTGACATATAATCCAGAAGCTATAAATGAAAAAAACAAAAAATCTGAGATAATATAAAAATTTTGGGTCAACAAAATCACCATCAATGTTAAAAAAAAAAAAACTAGAAAAAATATTACATGCAACAAAGGCTAATATTCTTAATATTCATGAATTATGAATCAAGAAGAAAAATACCATCAACGCAAAAGAAAAACGGTCAAATTTACCAACATGCACAAATAAATATACATGCATACACACAGCATATATAATACAAGCACATAAACTATAAAAAACTAAAACATTTAATATTAAACTTTAAAACTAGAAATTATTTTCACAATTAAAGAACAATTAAAACGTTAGGAAAAATGTATAGTTGGAAATGTAAATTAAAATATAAGTGTCAAAGATACAGATTGTAGTTAGAATGAACTGTTTTCTACCAATTTGAAATGGGAGTGAAAGGTACAGGAATTCATGAGAATAGAATGTCAAATTTCATTTGTAAACTACAACGTTTAGTTGTACCCACTGCAATTCTAGAATTCAAAATGGACGTGTTGATGGCAAAGTGGTATAACAAGCATCAAATCTTCCTGCCTATTTATTGAAAAATATGTTAGAAACAGCATGGCTGAGCAATCAACTAATAATCTGTGAAAGGTAATCCTTATTCATTTGCACATTATTGTGCTTTTGTTTTCTAGTGTCAAAAGTTTGACAAATTAGAAAAAAAATCATTGACCCAGTATACTTATCAGACACTATCTTTTATATTTGTAGAATACAAAACAAGTTATTATATTTGCAGTCAACCATTTGCAGAGATCATCCCTGGATAGTTTTACACTGTAAGAATCAAATTTCCAAATATGCACTTGGTTATTAGTTCTATTTTTAACCTGCCACTCATATACTGTCGTGTACTTAAAATTCAGAACATGTTTACATTATCCATCCAGCAGGCTAATGCAACTGCACACCAGACAGTCATGCATAATTCAAATCAATATCCTCAGGCTTGGAAGTCTAAGTCAAAGCTGCCTTTAAAAAAGCTAGGGTGTTACTTTAACATGAATAAAGTATATCTAATTTTTCTTTTTATGTGACAAATTGATACTTTCTGCAATGGAATGCCAAAAATGCAAAGCCACTGTATAATAGATCTTTACACTATTGAAAAAAAGAGATAATTGAAAAAATAAGGCAACTACAGTAGTCTTAGAAAATTAACTCTAAATACTGAAAGAGACAAAGCTGAATAAGATTCAAATAGCAAAGCTCACAATATAACAATAGATTATATGAAGTTTAGCCAACAAACAACATGTACATAAAATTACAAAATCAAAGTTCTAAGTTATATTGTGAATTGAGAATACTTTTAATACTTAAATTCAGATTACTATTTTTGTATCAGTAAAGTTAGTTTCATTTAAATTCCTTAAGTATAAACCCCACTACTAAATTTCCATAACTAGTTACATGTCTAGAAGTGACCCTCATCTGTAAAAGCTCAAGTCTATCAAACTTAAATTGAGTTTTCTTAGTTAAGCATGTCAAGATACAGCATTGAATATCCATTATACCAGACTCTAGTTTATGTCACCTTTACTGTGGATATTTGCTTTTAAAAGAATAAGGAAAAAAAGATAACTGAACCTTAGTCTATAAACATCTATTTTTGAGGCTACTAAGAACATAAATGTTTACCAATAACTTGAAATGTAACACACAGTTGATTAGCCTCTGATTTAAAATTCGCATAGGCAAGAATAAACGCATATATTTTGATAATTTTTCTTCCCAGAAGCTTCAAATTTGACTCAACATTTAAAGAAACCCTCCAGATACGAACATCATTGCTCATGCAACCCAACTCAATTATGAAAATTTCGTATTAGTCCTATTCAGTATTACTGACATACCAAACATAATATCCTCTACAATGACAGGCCATTAATGTCAAGGTGTAGTAATATGAAGGATGAAATTAATGGGATAGAGAAAAAGGATTCAATGGTATCTGAGATAATGAAAAAAAAGATTAAATGGCAGGCCTTTGGGAAATACAATAAAGGCATGGAAGTCCTTTCAGTGAAGACAGAGAATCTAGTTCAGGTAAACAAAACATATCTTTTCAGTTTTCTTGCAAAGATAAAAAACTTAAATAACGATGACAGAGTAGATAAATCAAAGATGTCTTAATTGATTAAGCCCTGAATTTAATTAGGAGTTTATAGATAACGCTGTTGATCAAATCTATTCACCAAGTATTCTGTAAGAAAATAGCAGAAAAACATGTTTTATAGCAATTCAACTGCCAATTAAAGCTGGAGAAAATGATGCATAGAAATTTAACATCATAACAGCAACAGCAAATGGAAAATTGCCCTAAAAAAGGACATGTGATCTCACTCAGCAATAATAGCAGCATGGCCCATGGATTGAATATATATATTTTTTCCTTTCTATTAGAGGGCTGTTTCCCTTTAAATTTCCATATTTTTTGCCCACAAGTACAACCAATGAATATTTTAAACCTCTCTAAAGGTAAATAAGTAATTGGCTCAGAGTTTTCTTCCTTTACAAACCTACTTTGGAATATTTGTAATACAGCACCAAAGTTCAAAGCACACAGAATTCTCACGTTAATCCTGACATAGAGACAAATGATAAATTTTAGAAAAGTAGCTATATAAAAGAACTAAAAGAAAGATTACAGAATATAAACCGCATACCAGTTTATTTTTTGAAGTTAACTTTACATATTATGCTGGCAATTATAAAGGCAATAAAATGCAATTTTAGTAGCTCTACTTAGGAACATAGGAACTCAAAATGTGAGAAGTGGAATGGACCTTACCTTAGATCGCATTGCCTAACCTTAACATTTGTGCAAAAGGAAACGTGAGCCTGTGACATGCCTAAGGTAATAGTTTATACAAAGGGTAAGATTAGAAACCATGTCTGCTATTTACAAGTCTCCTGAGTACAGACCTATACAACCATACCCATTGGCTCTAACTACGTCTAAGTTATGCTTAAGAAAAAACAAATGAAGTTGCATATAATTCCAATGCTGAAACAGATGTAGCAAGGACCAATGCTAGACTAGAGCTGAGATGCAGATACCTCTCATACAATGGAATTAGATGGCACCCATATCCTTCAATTTCCCACTTCCCAGTTCCCACCCCATTTCCTCATTCTCCACCCACTGTAGATAAACTTGCATCCACTGATTTATATGGGAGGGTGAGATGCCTTCAGAGAAAGCATCTTAAACTAAGACTATATATAAACATGTCTTGCAAATTAGAGGGTGAAGTGAATGTAACAATCCAAATTTCTGAAAAGTGCAATGAGACTCTTAACACTCACAATAAGAAAAGGAGATATCTTTCACAGAAAGCCATATCAGGCTATCGGGCCTGAGGTCAGAGAAGAGTATGGACCCCTAGTGCAATGTGGTGGCTAATAAATTATTTTATCCTGCCAATTCTGGCAATGCATTCACACCCTGGGAAGAAAACATGCAGTGCATGAACTGAAAGAACAGCCTCTTTACATCCTAGGGCCCACAACTCTGACAGTAATTATTTCAGTTGCCATTATTTTGGAAATAATGTTAATGTAATCCTATTCATGTCTCTCTCTCTCTCTCTCTCTCTCTCTCTCTCTCTCTATATATATATATATATATATATATTCTTTCTTGTCATCATGCATATACAGGTATATATATAATTTATCTTACTCAGGTTGAGTAAGAGAATTTGTCAACTCTTAGCCATCAAATTAATTCCCAAATTAGTATGGGACTTTAGCATGGGAAATTCCCAGGAATTTTTTGCATGGGAAATTTTTATTCTAATCCTTATGTTTTAATTGTATGATAGTGAATTTCTCTCATCCTGCCCTTAATTTGATCCTAAGGCAGAGTTCATTCATTACCAGTCACTTTCTGTTAGTAAAGAATCTAGTAGAATTTAAAGCTAGTAGAATTTAAAACTCCATTCCCAGGTCTAACTTAATTTCCTCTCTATATCTAAGTTTCTAACTTGTAAAACAGAATTAATAATAGTTCATAGTTCACAGTGCTGTCAAAACATTAAATGAACTAATATAAGTAAAGGGCTTAAAACAGTGCCTGTTACATCGCAAGCACTATATATGTATTTGCTTTTGTTACTCCCTCCCTCTGATGCCAGCTAAGCTTCTGTTCATGGAACTTTTGAGTGGGAGACAAAGTGAGGTCTGCACTTTTAATCCTCTTTACTCCATCCAGCACCTTGAATGACTTCATTCGGGAACATTTTCCCCTCTCTTCCACCTCTAATTACTCTGATGTGTTGGGGTAAGGAACAGGAATAGCAGAAATTGCTGAGACTGCCTTACTGTTTGCATGCAGGTAGTAGAAAGGTACCCTAAACCTCACTCTAGCACTGGTTGGCTGTGGTAGCTTTTGCTGATATGGTGGTTTCTTCATAAATTACGCAGATAATTCATTTGGGTGATATTCAGCTTCATCTCAGCCTCTGCAGTCACGGAGGAACTACCAAGAGGAGGGCAGCCAAGTCTTCCCCTGTGGTCAGCAGTCCATACTCCTAATCCCCTAATTAGGTAACAAATTCCCTGGTTTGCTGGTTGCCTGATTAGCCCTATAACTCTTGCCTCCTCTATTTTCCATGCTCCTTCAAAGGGAGCCTCAAAAATATCTCCGTGTTCTTCACAAATCTCAAGTGCCCACTGAAAAAGACGATGAGGCAGAAGAGCTGTAACCACAGTACCTCCCAACTTCAAAACTCCAACTCTCTTTCTCCCCCTACCTCATCTCCTGCTTATTTGATATGGTGTGGGAGTGGGAGCACAGCAGTTAGACTGATATTTGGGAGCAATAAAACCAGTTTGGACTACCTCATAATAAATACGTAGGGAAGTCTCTGACCCAGAATGTCAATGGCTGTTAGCTCAAGATTTTAGATAGAGAGATGAATTACTATTACCTCTTTATTCCAGCTTTCGGTCCCTAGTCACCGATTCCAGAATAACAAAACCCTCAAGAAAAGTCCCATTAAACATCCTGATACAAACACAATTAATATAGGGACAAACAATCTTTCTTATACATCACTATAATCTGTGGTAGGTATAGACCTAAATGTACAACCTAATCAAATGCCTATGTAAGAACACACAGGGAGAGAAAGTTTATGTGTTCTGTATATTCTGAGAGATGGTCCTCCTTACCCCCAAATAGTCACAAGAAATCTGCATATGGAAGGAGTATTCTGTTGTCAGGCTATGGGGAAGTAGGAGTATAGCTAGCTGTCAAACATGAATGATTTATTACTCCATTTTGTGGCCATATCAAGATGAATGCAAAATGAAAGAGATCATAAGGAATGTTAAAGAATCAAACTCAAGAAACTCAAGAAGTCCAAATATATAAATCATTAACAAAATCAAAGGCTAATGGTAATAAGGGCAAGAGAGGTTTTAATTAGAAAAATCAAGTTCATAACTTTGTTCCAATTAAATAAAAAAATTATTGATTTATTAAATTTGCATCCAGCAAGCACTATGTGAGATACGGGGAACTCATACCAAAGTGAAGTGAAACAAGTTACTGTACATAACAAAAGAATATCCAAAGCAACCGAGGTCTATAGAAATTCTGAAAATAGAAAGATTAATCTGTGAGAGTGTTGGCAAGAAAACTTCATGGCAGGAGTTGGCCTTAACTTTGGCCTTGAAATGCAGTGCTAAATAGGTTGAAAGAGGGTTCAATGTTTCAAACTGGGGTACAATATTAACAAAGGTACAAAGTCAGCCATGATGCATGATGACCAAATTACCTCTGCAAAGAACTGGCCAACTAGAGAAGGTTTTAAACAATGGGAGAACAAGGAAAGGTTAATTTAGATATTTATACTACCTCATGTTTGGGTTTGTCTCCAATCTTGGGATTTCAATTATCAATATCAACTGGGGTCGGGCGTGGTGGCTCATGCCTGTAATCCCTGCACTTTGGGAGGCCGAGGAAGGCAGATCACTTGAGGTCAGGAGTTCCAGACCAACCTGGCCAACATGGCAAAACCCCATCTCTACTAAAAGAACAAAAATTAGCACAGTGTGGTGGTGTGCGCCTGTAATCCCAGCTACTCAGGAGGCTGAGGCAGGAGAATTGCTTGAGCCTGGGAGGTGGAGGTTGCAGTGAGACGAGACTGCAGCTACTACACTCCAGCCTGGGTGACAGAGCAAGACTGAGTCTCAAAAATAAATAAATAAATAAATAATAATAGTAACAACTGGAAGCTTTCAAAAAAACTTTTGTTGTTGTTGTTGTTTGATACGGAGTTTCGCTCTGTTGCCCAGGCTGGAGTGCAGTGGCGTGATTCTCCTGCCTCAGCCTCCTGAGTAGCTGGGACTACAGGCACATGCCACCACACCCGGCTAATTTTTTTTTTTTTTTTTGTATTTTTAGTAGAGACGGGGTTTCATCATGTTAGCCAGGATGGTTTCTATCTCCTGACCTCATGATCTGCCTGCCTTGGCCTCCCAAAGTGCTGGGATTACAGGCATGAGCCACTGTGCCCGGCCCCAAAAAAACTTTTTAGTTATAGAACCTTTTGTTCAAATAAAATCTAATCTATTTAAACTAATAAAAGAAGAAATAAGGAGCTCGAGCTCTGCCTCCTCATTCTGATTCCCTGACCCTCATTTTATCTTACTCCTAGAACAAACCCCTACCAAGGATCCACAGAACCCCTTAATGAAAAACATGTTTAAAACTTGTGGAATATTTTTTTGGTGGGGGGTGAGGTCTCAATTACCTTTTAGTTGGTTCAATTCTCATCTAGTTGCATGCCCTATAGATTCCTTCACCCACAGTTTCACTGAAAGCTCTTGAGAGACAACAGCTCCATAAGGATAAATGTTGGAAATATTTAGTTGAGTACAGCTTTTATAATACGATGTCATCAAATGTACTTTAAAGAACATAAACTTATAAAGGTAAGTTTCACATTGGGTGCTAATTTATATCAATTTTTAAAGTGAATATAAAATAAAGTTTGCCTCTAACTGTATAATTACAGAGTTTTAAATCTGAAATGAGGATTAGTCTTAGGCAAAATAGCATTTTTTAAAAATAGCATCAAAAATCTTATTTACATGATGTTTCTAAATGTTCTGTGAGAAGTAAAACACCTACTTAGAAGAGATTTCTAAATGGTTAAAGGTGAACTGGAGATGGTAACTGAGAACTCACTTTGACTTAAATTTTAGTTGATATATAACCAATAACTATAACAAATTAACTTTTTATATGGGAGACAATCCTTTTTTTTTTTTTAATTTCGAGTTCAGTGGAACAATCATAGCTCACTGTAGTCTTGAGCTCCTGGGCTTAAGTGATCCTCCTGCCTTAGCCTCCCAAGCACGCCACCATACCCAGCTAATTCTTTGTATTTTTTTTTTTGTAGAGATGCGGTTTCATTATGTTGACCAGGCTGGTCTCGAACTCCTGGCTTCAAGGAATCTTCCTGACTTAGCCTCCCAAAGTGTTGGGAATATAGGCATGAGCCACCGTGTCTGGCCAACAATTCTATTTTTAAGACATTCTAATAGGAAAAAAAACATATTTTGCCCTCTCAATCAATAAAACATCAATTAAAAGCTAGCTGTTCCCATTTTTTAGATAGTTTGAAGTTCATTAACTTTTACTTTTTTCAACAAATTATCAATGGGCATACCTATTTAATTTTATACATAAAGACTTTTCATAAATACAAATATGTTAATAGCTACCATTTATTCAGAACTATCATATCCCAAGACATGCAGTATTTCTAGTCCTCACACTAACTCTTTAGGGCAAGTATTTTTAGACAATTTACATTTAAGAAAAGACTCTGAAAAGTTTATTATATCACATAGATAATAATCACTGAAGACAGGATCAGAATTAAGTTTTTCCACAGCTTATTCATCTCTTGACTCATGTGAAAATCAGAATATGATGAGAAACAAGCCCTTTCACTCAACAGAGGTCCAGAAAGGCTCAGGAATTGAAGGCATTAGTACCTTAGAAGGTAGTGGGTAAGAAGTATGCTAAAACAAGAGTAGGCAGATGAAAGCTTGCCCAGTAAGCAATATCAACACTCCCACCCCAAACTGTGTCCTCTATAATAGGCACCCAAGAATCCAATTAAGGAACATCAGGCATAAGAGGAAACAGGGATAAGCACTCCCCCTCTGAAAACAGAGAATTAAGTGAAAATCTGATGAACAGTTAAATGCTCAGCTACCTTTTATTACTCAGTTCCAAGAGTGCTGCAGCCAAGCAGTATATCACACTTCTCAACAAAAGCAGGATAATGAGGATAATGGAGGATTATTCCGAAAAATTAAGGGGCCTAAGAGACAACAGTTATAAACACTGACATGTGGGAGTCTGAAATGAAATGGTCATATTCCTTCCCAATCAACTAGCAGTGAAGTCACTGATAACAAACTCAGTCCAGGCACACAGTTTCTAATCTACTTTTCTACGTATCACTGTTACATATGACAATCTCTACATATGTGAGAAAACCTCCAATATAAAAGACAAGAGACTTAAAAAAAAGAAAATGTAATATAAGAACAAGAAAAAGGCTTAAGATGGAAGAAAAGAATATCCTTAGTGATGAAAAGATATTACAATCATAAAATAGGAACAATTACTTAAAGTAAGAAACCATCAGAGACTGAGAAGCAACTCGATATTTTAAAATGTGATAGCAGAAAGTTACAGTATGGGAGGAAACTAGGCTTTTCAATATCAAATGAATAATCTTGCCAGAAACAAAGGAGAAAATGGAAGGAACTATGAAATAAATGATTCAATTTTTTTTTACATCTTAAGAGATGAATATTCAAACTGAAAGTGTCCACCAAATACCTGGCATCAACAATGAAAGTTGTACCCCAGGTACAATGTTACAAAATTTCCCAACACAGGAAGAATAATAATTAAAACTTGCAGAGAAAATAAAATATCTAAAAATAAATGAGAACCAAAATAGCAACACTATTAGTGAGAAGACAATAGAGCAATGACTTCAAAATTCTATAGGAAAATGATTTCCAAACTGACATTCTATACCTGGCCAAACCATTAATCAATTACAAGTTAGAATAAAGAGATTTTCAAATGTGCAGCATCTCAAAAAGCTCACTTGCTATACACTATTTCTCTGGAAGCTACTGGAAGATAGGCTTTATACCAAAATGAGAAAGTAAAAAAACAAACAAAAAAGACTGTTGAGTTTGTAATATACTTACATACATAAATTAATAGAAAATTAAAGGTGCTGTGATGATAAGACCAGAGTTAGGATAACAGTTAACGGCTCTAGATTTCAATGAGATTGGTACCAGAAGTTGAACATGTAAGCACTCAAACTATAGACACAATCCACAAAATTACCTAATGAATGCTAGGAATTGTTACATTTACCTATTTGACAAGCTACCTATTACTGTTCAACTAAACCAAACAATTTTCCTGCCTCAACAGTTAACTCATCTTCCTGCCTCTCATTTCCACCAGCTCCAATCCATTCTTCATAGACTTAATAGGGTTATCTTCCTAAAGCAAAAGTCAGGTCATGTAAAGCTTTTAGTTTAAAATCTTCTAATGGCCTTCACTGCCTAAAAAGCAGTCCTAATTGCTTGGCCCATCAGTTAAGACCCTAAATGATCTATACCAATTTAACTTTTCAGTCTTATATTTTACCACTACTATTACTTCAGCACACAAACCACCTGTTGCTTCTCAACTTGGCAGAAAGACGTTAATCTTCTCTTAAACAGCTCTTTTTCTATCTCTGTGCATAGCATAGCAGGCATTCAAAAATAAAATTACAGTGGCATAAATTAGTGATTCACTGTAATAAAAAACCAAAGGAGATTCTACTACAATATAATTCTACCTTCTATGCATGAACATAAAAAGTTAAATTAAAATGTTGATCTATATTGATATTGTATGGATACAATTATTTCCATGTTCTGGTGTAATTTGCCCTTCTTTGATCTGGGCTTTGTCCTTATGTACAAATAAAGGAAAGAAAATTTGTAGTCATGTAGGATATTGTATAAAATTGTAATACTAGTAGTAGTCATAAGAAAATGTAGAGAATATGGCAGAATGATCTTGGCATTTAATATCACATCTAAAATTTAAAGGTAACATTAAAGGTGAATTAAATTTTAATAAAAGGAAAATAAGCTTATAATGGGTATATGGAACTATTTTTTATTTAAAAAATTTAAACACCTCAATAATTTCCTGTTAGCAACTTATTAAATGGACTCCTAAGCATTTATAATGTTTTCTGCCTGTCAACTCTTTAATATTTAATAAATTGCTTTAGAATGCCGTTGTTTCTGTGCTTGGAGAGCTTTTTTTTTTTTTTTTTTTGGTGAGATGTAGTTTCGCTCTTGCTGCCCAGGCTGGAGTGCAGTGGCGTGATCTCAGTTCACTGCAATCTCCGGCTCTGGGTTCACGTGATTCTCCTGCGTCAGCCTCCTGAGTAGCTGGGATTATTGGCGCCCGCCACCATACCCAGCTAATTTTTCTATTTTTAGTAGAGACGGGGTTTCACCACGCTGGCCAGGCTTGTCTCAAACTCCTGACCTCAGATGATCCGCCCGCCTCGGCCTCCCAGGGTGCTGGGATTACAGGCGTGAACCACTGCGCCAGGTCTGGAGAGTGGCGGGGACCTGTAGTTCCAGCTACTCCAGAGGCTGAGGCAAGAGAATGGCGTGAACCCGGGAGGCGGAGCTTGCAGTGAGCCGAGATCGCGCCACTGCACTCCAGCCTGGGCGACAGAGCAAGACTCTGTATCAGAAAAAAAAAACCCTAAAATTTGCTCCAAACACTTTGTCATGGGGGAAAAAACTCAAACAGCCAGAATATACTGAAAATTCTATAATTAGAATCCAAATAAATTGCTCTTAAAGAGTAACTTAACCAAGAGCTCAAAAAGAATTTAACAAGTTATTGTTAACAATTCGACAACAGTGTGTTCCTGATTGACTTCAGTTCAGGATACAAATCAAGAAATTTGACTATACATATGCAAAAAAGGGTCCAAAAGTTAACATAAGTAGCAGACAAGAAATCCAACAATCTTCTAAAAACAATTAAGATTTTGTTAGCAGTCTCAATCATATTAAATGTAAAGGAGAGAAAGTAACACAGATATGAGGCTAATTATGCTTTCAAAGAATCTGATATTAATATCCTATAAAAAGTGGTCTGAAAGGTAGGTATTTCTCATGAACGTGGGATACTGGCTGAATATAAGTTAGGAGCTTATTCAGAAGTATAACCTGCAGATGTAAAAAAGAAGGAAGGAGATTTCTGTGAATTCATATGGAGTGGTTTCCAAAATAAGTAACAAAAGAAAAATGCAAAAGAAAAAATACATATACACACATACACACATATGTAGTATTCTATGTGAAGGGAAAATAACAAGACACACATAATTATTTTTTCAAAACAAAACACAGGAATGATAAGCCAGAAACTAAAAAAAGTGGTTATCTACACAGGTGAGTGGGAATGAAGCAGAAGAAATAAAAAAGAAATGGGATTTATCTGAGTATATGTTTTTATTTAGCTTTTAATTTAGACTAATGTTTTACATATTCAAAAACAAATTGAAAAACTCAACATCGAATGAAATAAAAAGTGTGAAGTGAACTATATTCATAGCAAACAGATAACCACAAAAAAGAATTAATGCAAATAACTTTTGAACACAGTATACTGTACAACCTTATTGGATATATTCTGAGGACAAACATTACGCAACCAAAATTCTTGAATTTTATGTAATAGATTTATTATTGGTACTGGCATTTAAGTAGCAATACCTAAACTATTTTATATGTATCGTAGGACTGAGCAAATTAATACATACATGAATTTTGCTAGGAACCACAGTTCTATGGGTGAAGAGAGATACAAATACAGAAAAGAGAAATAAGAGGAAGAACTCTGGTACTGGATTGAATGCGTGGTATCAAAATAAACTGTTCACTAAAAGAGCCTAGATGAAATGATACCCAGCAGTAACAAGCACACCTAGATCTTCATTTCTAAATGTCCTTCCTCACAAAAGGATTAAAAGGAAGAAAGGACTCAAGACCTGATTGGGACTGATATGGTTTGGCTGTGTCTCCATCCAAATCTCATCTTGAATGGTAACTCCCACAATTCCTGTGTGTCATGGGAGGAACTCAATGGAAAGGGATTGAATTATATGGGAGTGGGTCTTTCCTGCACTGTTCTCATGATAGTGAGTGAGTCTCACAAGATCTGGTGGTTTTAGAAGGGGAGTTTCCCTGTACAAGCTCTCTTCTCTTGTCTGCCACCATGTGAGACGTGCCTTTCACCTTCTGCCATGATTGTGAGGCCTCCCAAACGATGTGATACTGTACGTCCAATAAACCTCTTTCTTTTGTAAACTGTCCAGTCTCAGGTATGTCTTTATCAGTGGTGTAAAAACGGACTAATGCAGTAAATTGCTACCAGTTAGAGTGGGGTCCTGCTGAAAAGATAACCAAAAATGTGGAAGCAACTTTAGAACTGGGTAACAGGCAAAGGTTGGAATAGTTTGGAGGGCTCAGAAGACGACAGAAAAATGTGGGAAAGTTTGGAACTTCCTATAGACTTGTTGAATGGCTTTGCCCAAAATGCTGATAGTGATATGGACAATAAGATCCAGGCTGAGGTGGTCTCCAGTGATGAGGAACTTGTTGAGAACCAGAGCAAAGGTGACTCTTGTTATGTTTTAGCAAAGAGACTGGCGGCATCTTGCCCCTGCCCCAGAGATTTGTGGAAATTTGAACTTGAGAGAGATGATTTAGGGTATCTGGCGGAAGAAATTTCTAAGCAGAAAAGCATTCAAGACGTGACTTTGTGCTGTTAAAGGCAGTTTTAAAAGGGAAACAGAGCATAAAAGTTTGGAAAATTTGCAGCCTGACAATGTGACAGAAAAGAAAATCCCATTTTCTGAGGTGAAATTCAAACCAGCTGTAGAAATTTGCATGAGTAATGAGGAACCAAACGTTAAAACTCAAGACAATGGGGAAAATGTCTCCAGGGCATGTCAGAGGTCTTCACCGCAGCCCCTACCATCACAGTCCAGAAGGCCAAGGAAGAAAAAGTGGTTTTGTGGGCCAGGCCCAGGGTCTCTGTGCTGTCTGCAGCCTAGGGACTCAATACCCTGCATCACAGCTGCTCCATCCGTGGCTGAAAGGGGCCACCACAGAGCTCGGGCCGTGGCTTCAGAGGGTGCAAGCCACAACCCCTGGCAGCTTCCACGTGGTGTTGAGCCTGTGAGTACACGGAAGTCAAGAACTGGTGTTTGGGCAGGAACAGAAAACCAAACACCACATGTTCTCACTCATAAGTGGGAGTTGAACAATGAGAACATATGGGCACAGGGAGGGGAACATCACACACTGGGGCCTGTCAGCAGGGTGGGGTGTAAGGGGAGGGATAGCATTAGGAGAAATACCTAACGTAGATGACAAGTTGATGGACACAGCAAACCATCATGGCACATGTATACCTATGTAACAAACCTGCATGTCCTGCACATGTATCCCAGGACTTAAAGTATAATTTAAAAAAAAAAAGAAAAAAAATCAAAATCCACATAAAAGATTAAAAAAAAAAAAAGAATTGGTGTTTGAGAACCTCCGCCTAGATTTCAGAAGATGTATGGAAATACCTGGATGTTCAGGCAGAAGTTTGCTGCAGAGGTGGGGCTCTCATGGAGATCCTCTGCTAGGGCAGGGCAGAAGGAAAATGTGGGGTCGAAGCACCCACACAGAGTCCCTACTGGGGCACTGCCTAGTGGAGCTGTGAGAAAAGGGCCACTGTCCTCCAGACCCCAGAATGGGAGATCCACCAATGGCTTGCACAGTGTGCCTGGAAAAGCCGCAGACACTCAACACCATCCTGTGAAAGCAGCCAGGAAGGAGGCTGTACCCTGCAGAGCCACAGGGGCGGAGATGCCCAAAACCACAGGAACCCACCCCTTGCATCAGCATGACCCAGATGCGAGACATGGAGTCAAAGGAGATAATTTCGGAGCTTTAAGATTTGACTGCCCTGCTGGATTATAAACTTGCATGGGGCCTGTAGCCCCTTTGTTTTGGTGAATTTCTCCCATTTGGAAAAGCTGTATTTACCTAATGCCTGTACCCCCATTGTATCTAGGAAGTAACTAACTTGCTTTTGATTTTACTGCGTCATAGGCAGAGGGGACTTGACTTGTGTCAGATGAGATGCTGGACTGTGGACTTCCGAGTTAATGCTGAAATAAGACAAGACTCTGGGGGACCGTTGGGAAAGCATGATTGGTTTTCAAATGTGAGGGTATGAGATTTGGGAGGGGCCAGGGGCGAAATGACGTGGTTTGGCTATGTCCCAACCCAAATCTCATCTTGAATTTTAACTCTCACAAGTTCCATGTGACATGGGAGGCACTCGATGGGAGGTGACTGAATTATGGGGGTGCATCTTTCCTGCGCTGTTCTTGTGATAGTGACTGAGTCTCACTCATGAGATCTGATGGTTTTAAAAGGGGGACTTTCCCGCAGCAGCTCTCTTGTCTTGTCTGCCACCATGTAAGATGTGCCTTTCACCTTCTGCCATGATTATGAGGCCTCCCCAGTGATGTGGAACTGTAAGTCCAATAAACCTTTCTTTTGTAAATTGCCCAGTCTTGGGTATGTCTTTATCAGTGGTGTGAAAATGGACTAATACAGGGACACATACAGATCAAAAAGATGTGGGAGTCGGTTTGAGTGAACAATTGATAGCCCAATTTGAGACAATTTGGGGATCCAAATAAAAAATGACAGGAGTGGATAACACTGAATAGAAAAAGAATCTATGAGTATCAATACTAAAGAAAAAGGTAATAATTGATTTAGTCAAGAATCATCAATGAATGTTAAAACCACTAGGTATTGGGGAACAGGATATTCACACAGTCTCAAAGTATCAATCCAGAAATTATTTACTCCCGAAAAAGTGGAAAAAGGTCTTCCAAAATGGAGCAATCTAGTGGACACCACACCACTTAAACAAGCAAAGTTAGTAGCACCAATAATATCTGAGATCATGTGGTCCCTGATGTAACACACTGAAGACATCTCACTGACATAGTATTCCTGCCAAAAATCAACCTGAAAAAAGTGGACATCTTTTTTATTCATATTTTGCATAACATATAACTTGGATTCCCAATTCTTGAGCTACAGTCAACCTGTTTGCCAATTATAGTATCTTAAAACATCTGTAGTAGTCTCAGGATATTTAATCAGAAATGCATTGAAAATATAATCTACATTAAATTCTGCAAGGCCAGGCACGGTGGCTCACGCCTGTAATCCCAGCACTTTGGGTGGCCAAGGCAGGCAGATCACGAGGTCAGGAGTTTGAGACCAGCCTGGCCAACATGGTGAAACTCCATCTCCACTAAAGATACAAAAAATCAGCCGGGTGTGGTGGCAGGTGCCTGTAATCCTAGCTACTCGGGAGGCTGAGGCAGGAGAATCATTTGAACCTGGGAGGCGGAGGTTGCAGTTAGTTGAGATTGCGCCATTGCACTCCAGCCCGGCCGACAGTGTGAGACTCCATCTCAAAAATAAAATAAAATCAAGTAAATTCTTCAAATTAGGATACACAAGAAAAGGATAAATAATGAAAAAAAACTATACCTAAGCAACAGAAAAATCCACATAATTTTTTTATTTTTTGGCTATATTAATTCAATAAACATTTATTGGCTACCTTTCTATGTGCCATACTCTTTGACAGGTGCTAGACAAAGAAGGATGAATAAGGCCACCTTTATCCTTTTCATAAAAATTTCTAATAATAAATCTAATGATAAAGTAATATTTACTTAAATTCCGGTTTAAAAGGACTATATAATGGTGGATCTAAGTTAATTAGAATAATTATTTAACTATACCTATCAATATGATAGACACATTAATATAAAATTAATTAATTATAGAATTAAAAACAGGAGATCTGGAATCAGACTGGTTTGATTTCTGGGTCCATCACTTAGTAGCTATATGATGTTAATATAATTTTACAGTTTCCTCTTTTATAGAATGGGGATGATAATACTATTTAACTCTGGAGATGCTGTGAAGATTAAAGGTATTAATGTACACAGAGATTTTAGAATACTTACAAGCAACCACACAAAGACTTGCAAGTGAATGTTCATAGCAGCATTATTCCTAATAGTAAAAAACTGGAAATGCCCTAAAAGTTCATCAGTGGTTAAGTGGATAGACAATATGTGGTATATTTATACAATGAAGTACCATTCAGTAATAAAAAGGAAATACTGACCCTGCTAAGTCTACAGATGAACCTCAAAAACATGCTAAGTGAAAGAAGCCAGACACAAGAGACTTCACGTTGTATGATCCCAATTATATAAAATGTCCAAAATAGGCGAATTTATATAAAGTAGATGAGTGGTTGCCTGATACTGAGGGTGAGAGTAGGGATTAACTGTAAATAGGCATGGCAGATCTGAATGGCTAATGGAAATGTTCCAAAAATAACTTACGGTAATAGCTATACCATTCAGTAAAGTTACAAAAAAAAAAATCATTGACTTGTACACTTGAAATGAGTAAATTTTGTTTGTTTTCTACTTGAGACTGAGTCTTGTTTTGTCACCCAGGTTGAAGTGCAGTGGTGTGATCTTGGCTCAATGCAACCTCCACATCCTGGGTTCAAGCGATTCTCCTGCCTCAGCCTCCCAAGTAGCTGGGGTTACAGGTGCCTGCTACCATGCCTAGCCAATTTTTGTACTTTTAGCAGAGACAGGATCTCACCTAAATGTTGGCCAGACTGGTCTTGAACTCCTGACCTCAAGTGATCCTGCTGCCTCACCCTCCCAAGGTGCTGGGATTATAGGCGTGAGCCACCATACCCAGCCATGAGTAAATTTTAAAGAAAAAACATAACTCCATAAAGCAATTTAAAAATACTTAGTGAAAAATGTGTTCAATGTGTTAGCAATTATTAAGATAAAGTAATTTTCTTTGTATTATGTGATTTATAATATCAAATATAATCAAGATACAAAAATAATATATTTTCCAAGGACAAACAGAACATACAATAAAATTGTTAAATTTCTGAGAATTAATGAAAATATATAACGATAATTTCCTGAAGATTTAGAAGTTCTAAAGTGACATAAAAATATTATACCTAGAATAGAAACATAAATTTTCCCTACAGACTTAAAAATAGTTTGTTTTAACATGATTTTACTCATTTATTACTAATATTTCATTTGGTTTTATACAGTCTCCTATTTACTTCTGATAAATATATCTCCAAATGTTATTCTAAATGAAAGTACAGGAAGATAAGAAGTTGCATTTTCATTTGGTTAAAGTCCTTATTTATTAATGTAACTATACTATTAATTCAGAGATAAGAAATGGCTGGAGGCGGCTCTTTTCAATGCCTTCATCTTATAGGAAAGAATATTCCTTCAAAACCGCTAGTAGCATTATTCTGTATTTAAAGTTAATTTTATCTGAACGCAAAAACAACAACAAAAAAAGAATATGTCCTCCATTAAAGTGTACTAAACTTATAAATTTTTAAGTGTGTTAATTTGAAATGTAAGGGTCTGAAATAAATGAACTACAAATTAACTACATTCAAAGCATCTCATATATTTTTTACACAAATCGAATTAATTTTGGGGAAGCATTTACTTTGTATTTAGCACTATTATGAATAAACAGATCTTAGTTTGACAAGGTTTTACAATGCATTAAGAAAATATTTTGTTGACTAACTTACACTGATGAATTAATTTCTACATTGTAAACTTTGAACTAAATGTGTATAGCACCGAATGAAATGAGTCTATTCAAGTCTAAATACCTGGAAAATTTGTAAATATTCTGAAAGTAGATATATTATTATTAATAAAGAGAATCATAACATGATTTGGATGTCTGTCCCCCTCAAATCTCGTATTGAAAAGTGATTCCCAGTGTTGAAGGTGGGGCCTGATGCAAGGTGACTGGATCATAAGGACAGATCCTTCATGAATGGTTTAGTACCATCCCCTTGGTAATAAAAGTCTGGGACATCCCTGCCAACTCACTGTCTTGCTCCCATTCTCACCATGTGATGTGCCTGCTCCCACTTCATGCTCCACCGTAAGTAAAAGCTCCCTGAGGCCTCAGCAGAAGCCGAGCAGATGTTGGTGCCATGCTTGCACAGCCTGCAGAGCTGTAAGCCAATTGAACTTCTTTTCTTTATAAATTACCTACTCCCAGGTATTCCTTTATAGTAATATGAGAAGAGCCTAATACAAATCATTATCTGGAAATTCCAAGAAAAGAGAAATCTTCAGAGATACTTTTATTCTTGGAAGAAAAATGTGTAAGGAGCGAGATAGCTTTAATATCAAAACTACAAGATCCAGAAAGAACATATCTATCACATTGCCTGGCAGAAGCACCCTAATAAGTTTCGATGCTGAAACAAGATTCCTATGGCTTTGATTCATTAAAAGACTGTTTCGAATAAGCTTTCCACAAAAGGAAAGATGCCAGCAGTGGCTTAAAATGGAGTAAAAAGTTGAAGTGAAATTTCTAGAGATTTCAAAACATTATCTAAACTTATTATGAGTTCCGGGTAGTAAAACACAAGGGTCTTTACATTTATTTCTGTATTAGTAAAACTAAATAAAACAAAACCAACTTGAACTAGAATTCTAACACAAAGGAAATAAAAGTATGAGAAAAATGGAAGGTGCATCATGCAATCCAGTAAATGATTAAAAAACTAAGCCTCAAAAAGTGCTTGAACCAAGACTTCTCCAGGGATCCAAAAGTAGATGTTTATGCACCTTCTATTTACGACATTGGCACCAACCAGCCAATTACAGCAGTGGAGATAAGGCCATGAAATACAGACATAACTTCTGGGGTCTACTGCTAGAAATTAAAAGATAGTTCCTAAAGAATGGGGAACTGCTTTAAGTTGAGAAACCAATGCAAAAGTATATTTTAAACGATTTCTGAAAAAATACACTCCATGCCCATATTACAGAAATTCTCGGTATTATCCTAATAAAAAATCTGGAATAGTCTGTGAGACAGATTCAACTGCAGTGTAGTATATAATAAAAATAGAGTACCTGGTTTTAAATACCATATATACTGTGATAATAATTAGATTCCTATCTCCAGACCAGATATTCCCTCTGAGTAAACAGACTCACAGTGAACTTCCAACTTCATATCCTATGTGAGTATCTCAAAGTCCTAACATGTCCAGAAAATCCTTATGCCTACCCTACTCTTTCTCATACTATGTTTGTTGCTCAAACAAAAACCCAGAAATCTATCCTGGATTTCTCAATTTCTGTCAGCCCCCATACTGCATCCAAGCTTGTTAATTCTGGTTCCAAAATATATTTCAAATTCTTACTTCTATCCCCAGTGTTACCACGGTAGTAGAGACAACTATATGCCATTTGGATTACCATAACAACATTTTCCAATTAACCCAACTTGCACTTATTTTTTTTTACACACATATTTTACTTTTTTTTTTCAGTAAAACAAAGATTCCAAAACTTTTTAGAATGTTAGAACTAGAGAGTTGGAGTAGAAATATATCTATCTGGTAGGTTTTCATTAGAAGACTAAGATTTTCTCTTAGAAATTGGAACAGATACTAGGCTGTTTCCATGGTTACCTACTGAAGCCTTTCTCCTTTAATGGAAAGGTATCATTTCTGTACACACCACATGTAGCTTCATGCTTTGTATTGGATCAAATCCTTTGAAAGCAGAATAAAAGAAATGAATTGAAAAAGGTTCTACAATCTGCCCCTGCAGAGAGCCAAATCATGAGTGAACTCCCATTCACAACTGCTACAAAGAGAATAAAATACCTAGGAATACAACTTACAAGGGATGTGAAGGACCTCTTCAAGGAGAACTACAAACCACTACTCAAGGAAATAAAAGAGGACACAAACAAATGGAAAAACATTCCATGCTCATGGATAGGAAGAATCAATATCGTGAAAATGGCCATATTGCCCAAAGTAATTGATAGATTCAATGCTATCCTCATCACGCTATCATTGACTTTCTTCACAGAATTAGAAAAAACTACTTAAATTTCATATGGAACCAAAAAAGAGCCTGTATAGCCAAGACAATCCTAAGCAAAAAGAACAAAGCTGGAGGCATCATGCTACCTGACTTCAAACTATATTACAAGGCTACAGTAACCAAAACAGCATGGTACTGGTACCAAAACAGATACATAGACCAATGGAACAGAACAGAGGCCTTCACGCCATACATCTACAACCATCTGATCTTTGACAAACCTGACAAAAACAAGCAATGGGGAAAGGATTCCCTATTTAATAAATGGTGTTGGGAAAACTGGCTAGCCATAAGCAGAAAACTGAAACTGTATCCCTTCCTTACACCTTATACAAAAATTAACTCAAGATGGATTAAAGATTTAAATGTAAGACCTAAAACCATAAAAACTCTAGAAGAAAACCTAGGCAATACCATTCAGGACATAGGCATGGACAAAGACTTCATGACTAAAACACCAAAAGCAATGGCAACAAAAGCCAAATTGACAAATGGGAGCTAATTAAAGAGCTTCTGCACAGCAAAAGAAACTTCCACTTATTTTTTAATTAAACATCCTTCTCTGTATGGTTAAAGTAATTCAAGACAGGGTTAAGCTCATTTGTTTCACTGTGCTTTTGGTTTTAGGAAATGTGTTTGTAAATTTAATTTTGCTTTATTACTATGTAAACAAGGTTTGTCACAGAAGTCTAGTTTCTATCCCTGTCCATGCAGGAGGACAGGTCCCCAGATGGCCTTGGTCCACTCAGCCCTTCCCCTGCCTCTCCTGCTTGCAGTTGTGAGAATAACTGTAGAATGCACTCAGAATGCAACATCCTAAGGTAAGAAACTGTCCAGAAAAACCCAGGCTCCTCATTCCTCCTATCACTAAGCAACGCTTGGCTCAGTGATCCCAGTCATGCTGGGATATAAAACCCAGAGCAGAGTGCTTTTGAGGTCCCTCAGTTGTGCTGCAACAAGAGGCATACACAGACAAGACTCTATCTACCTAGGGCAGCTTTCCTAAATCCTGGGGGACTGGCTCACCATGGATCCCTGGCTTCTGTTTATCCTGCTGCCTATCTGTGAGTAATAAAGTTGCTTTGCCTAACTTGTAAGAGTATTCTGTCTCACCAGACCCAAGTAGTAGGGTCTCTGCTGTCTCCTCCACCTTGTTTCCTCCCTCATGAGTATTTATTTTTAAGTTTATGATTTCTTCTACTGTTTTTAACAATAAGCAAATACAAACATATTCCCCCTTTCTAGATAAAAGGTAGTATAGTATACGAATTGTTCTACACTTTGCTTTTTTCACTTAGTGTATGCTATACATCTCCTAGTAACAGTTATTAATATTAAGCATTAATGTACTGCATATATTCACCTCTGCATCCCACATGCATGCTTCCTTTAGAAAATTTTTTGTAAATTATAGGGCTTCACCTATTTAACTAATAATCAAATTAAAATCAGTGATCAACTCAGGGCTGACATTCAGCCACACAGTATGAGTATAGCTTTGATTTCCTCATTTGGAAACCTTCTTTCAGGCTGTTTGGTGCCCAAGCAAGTAGCCACCATAAGTCCCTCCTGCTGAACACCACAAAGACTCAAGAGGGTTGACCTAAAGCCTCCTATCTGGCTCCCTCAGGAGCCCTGGGTAGGGACTGCTGTTAAACTCACCAGTTCTCTAGGCCCTATCCTTACATGTTTTCCCAACATCAGAGGAGACATCTTTGGCACCGGCATCCCAGTGGGCAAATGTTCAATGTCCATCTGTCCTACCCAGGTTGAGGCCATCTGCTGACTGCCCACATTTCCTTTGTGTAGCTCCTTATGGTAACTGCAGCCTTTACTGGCTCTGAAAAAAACTAAAGGTGGCAATGGAAGCCACCACAGGCACCATATTGGTGTTGCACTGCAGGCCACTCCCGTAGAAGAACAGAGATCATGGAAGCCCAGCTATCTGGGGCTGGAGACAGGCCCTAAATAGAGAACCCCTTTTTATTTATTTATTTGTTTGCATTGAGAGCTTATTTTTATTCATTTTTAGAAGACCAAATAGTCTTCAAACTTTAGAATTATTATACAGTTACATACACAAACCCATTTAGGAATTTTCAAAGATCATTTTGACTACAGGGGATTCCTGACTAAATGACTTTAGGAACCAGTGCTGCTGGAAGATGCATACCATAAAGACATAGAATTAATTCTTACTAAGTTCAGAAACTCCTATAGTTACACACAGATTAGATTTTAAAGTCTGATCCTACGTCCATTTATTTATAAGGACAATGTAACATGTATAAATGAACAATGTATAAACATCTATGTAGAGCTAATATCACTTTGGTTTCTTTTTTTTTTTTAAATTACACTTTAAGTTCTGGGTTACATGTGCAGAACGTGAAGGTTGCATAGGTTTACACGTGCCATGGTGGTGTGCTGCATCCATCAACCCGTCTTCTACATTAGGTATTTCTCCTAATGCTAGACCTCCCCTAGCCCCTCACCCCCCGACAGATCCCAGTGTGTGATGTTCCCCTCCCTGTGTCCATGTGTTCTCATTGTTTAACTCCCACTTATGAGTGAGAACATGCTGTGTTTGGTTTTCTGTTCCTGTGTTAGTTTGCTGAGAATGATGGTTTCCAGCTTCATCCATGTCCCTGCAAAGGACATGAACTCATCCTTTTTATGGCTGCATAGTATTCCATGGTGTATATGTGCCACATTTTCTTAACCCAGTCTATCATTGGTGGGTATCTGGGTTGGTTCCAAGTCTTTGCTATTGTGAACAGTGCTGCAATAAACATATGTGTGCATGTGTCTTTATAGTAGAATGATTTATAATCCTTTGGGAATGGGATTGCTGAGTCTAACGGTATTTCTGGTTCTACATCCTTGAGGAAATCACCACACTGTCTTCCACAATGGTTGAACGCATTTACACTCCCACCAACAGTGTAAAAGTGTTCCTACTTCTCCACAACCTCTCCAGCATCTGTTGTTTCCTGACTTTTCAATGATCACCATTCTAACTGGCGTGAAATGGTATCTCATTGTGGTTTTGATTTGCATTTCTCTAATAACGAGTGATGATGAGCTTTTTTGCATATGTTCTTTGGCCACATAAATGTCTTCTTTTGAGAAGTGTCTGTTCATATCCTTCACCCAGTTTTCGATGAAGTTGTTTGTTTTTTCTTGTAAATTTAAGTGCTTTGTAGATTCTGGATATTAGTCCTTTGTCAGATGGACAGATTGCAAAAATTTTCTCCCATCCTGTAGGGTGCCTGTTCACTCTGATGACAGTTTCTTTTGCTGTGAAGAAGCTCTCTAGTTTAATTAGATCCCTTTTGTCAATTTTGGCTTCTGTTGCCATTGCTTTTGGTGTTTTAGTCATGAAATCTTTGCCCATGCCTATGTCCTGAATGGTATTGCCTAGGTTTTCCTCTAGGGCTTTTATGGTTTTAGGTCTTACGTTTAAGTCTTTAATCCATCTTGATTGGGGCTGAGGCAGGAGATTCTGCACTACAGCTATTTTGGCAGTGAGCCTAAGGGCAGGCATCTTTTATAGCTCTTGGCTACACTGCAGGCTAGACAGCAGTGTCTCACCAATCTGAGTGTCCCAAGAGTCTGGAAGAAGTGAAAAATTCATTGAAGGAATTATAAAACATAGCTGAAAGCTTTAAAAACAGACTAGACCAAGCAGAAGAAAGAATCTCAGAGCTTGAAGATATGTCTTTTGAATTAATCCAGTCAGACAAAAATAAATAAAAGAATTTAAAACATGAACAAAGCCTTTGAGAAGTATCAAGTTATGTAAAACACCAGAACCTAGGAGTCATAGGTATTCCTGAGGGAAAAGAAAAAGCAAAAAGTTTGGAAAATCTATTTGAGGATAAAATTGAGGAAAACTTCACTAGTCTTGCTAGAGATTCAGACATCCAGATACAAGAGACTCGGAAAACTCTAGAAAATACATTGCAAGGACTTCACAAGACAAATAGTCATCAGACTAAAGTCAATATGAAGGAAAAAATCCTAGTGTTGGGAGGAAAATAGCATCTAAACACCTATAAAGGAAATCCCAACAGACTAAAAGCAGACTTCCCAGCAGAAACTGTATAAGCAAGAAGAGAGTGGGGTCCCATTTTCGGACTTAAAAACAAAACTGTCAACCATGAATTTGTTATTTTACTAGTATAAGCTTCATAAATGAAAGAGAATAGTCTTTCCCAAACAGGAAAGTGCTAACGGAATTCATCACCACTAAACCAGTCCTATAAGAAATACTCCAGGGAATTCTAAACATGGAAATGAAAGATTGATACTCACCATCATAAAAGCACACAAAAGTATAAAACTCATAGATCTTATAAAATAATTAGACAAATAAGACTGCAAAGTAACTAGGTAACAGTAAACATTATGACAAGAAGAAACCCTACATATCAATATTAATCTTGACCATAAATGCCTTAAATACTCCATTTAAAAGACAAACATTGGCAGAACAGATTTGTAAAAAACATGACACAACCAGATGCTGCTTACAAGAAACCCACCTATCTGGAAAGGACACTTGTAGGCTGAAGGTGAAGAAGTGGAAAAAGATACTCCATTCAAATGGAAGCCAAAAGTGAGTAGGAATAGCTACATTTATATCAGATAAAACAGACTTTAAAATCAACAACAATAAAAGAAGACAAAGAAGGGCATTATACAATGATAAAGCGGTCAATTCAACAAGATGTAACAATCCGAAATTTATATGCACCCAGATTCATAAAACAAACATAACTAGATCTGAGACAGACAGCAATACAATAATAGTGGGGGACTGCAACATCCCACTGATAGCATGAGACAGATCATCGAGAGAGAAAATCAACAAAGAAAAACACTGAACTTAAATTGGATTTTAGACTAAATAGACCTAACAGAAATTCACAGAATATTCTACCCAACAACCACAGAATATACATTCTTCTCATCAGTGCATGGAATATTCTCCAACACAGACCATATAGTAGGCCACAAAACAAGTCTCAATAAATTTTTTAAAAATCAAAATCATATCAAATATCTTCCTCGACCAGAGTGGAATAAAATTAGAAATCGATTCCATGAGGAATGCTCAAAACTATACAAATATATGGAAATTAAACAAATTGCTCCTGAGCGATCTTTGAATCAATGACAAAATTAAGATAGAAATTTAAAATATTTCTGAAATGAATGAAAATGGAGATACAACATACCAAAACCTCTGAGATACAGCAAAAGCAATGCTAAGAGGCAGTCTATAGCACTATGTACCTATATTAACAACAACAACAATAAAAAAAAAAAAAACAGAAAAATCACAAATCACCAACCTAATGTTGCACTTTAAGGAGTGAGAAAACCAAACCCAAAATTACTGGAGGAAAAGAAATAACAAAGATCAGAGCAGAACTAAATAAAATTGAGACCAAAAAATTACAAAGGATCATGCAAATGAAACGTAGTTCTTTGAAAAGATAATCAAAATTGATAGGCTGCTACCAAGACAAACAAAAGAGGAAAGAATACTCAAATATGCACAATCAGAAATTTTAAACAGGAGACATTATAAGTGATACCACAGAAATGCAAAGGATTGTCAGAGACTACATGAACATCTCTACACTTACATACTAGAAAACCTAGAGGAAATGGATAAATTCCTGGAAACATACAATCTCCCAAGATTGAACCAGGAAGAAACAGAAATTCTGAACAGACCAATAATGAGTGGTGAGACTGAACAAATAATAACAAATCTCCCAACAACAACAAAAAAGCCCAGGACCAGATAAATTCACAGCCAAATGTTATGAGACATACAAAGAACTGATACCAATCCTACTGAAACTTCCAAAAAACCAAGAAGAAAGGAATCCTCCCCAACTCATTCTACAAAGCCAGTATCACCCTTACACCAAAGCCAACCAAAGACATAATGAAAAAAGAAAACTACAGATCCATATCCCTAATGACCACAGATGCAAAAATCTTCAACAAAGTACTAGCAAACTGAACCTAGCAGTACATCACAAATATAATACACCACGATCAAGTGGGATTTATTTCAGGGATATAAGGATAGTTCAACATATGCAAATCAATAAATGAGATTCACCACATAAACAGAATTAAAAACAAAAACTATATTATCATCTCAACAGATGCTGAAAAAGCATTTGATAAAATTCAGCATCTCTTCATGATAAAATCTCTCAACAAACCAGATATAGAAGGAACATATCTCAAAATAATAAAAGCCATATGCAACGAACTCACAGCCAGCATCGTACTGAATAGGTAAAAGAAAGCATTCCCCCTTAAGAACTGGAACAAGACAAGGATGCCCACTTTCTCCACTCCTATTCAACACAGTACTGGGAAGTCCTAGGCAGAGCAATCAGGCAAGAGAAAGAAAGAAAGGTCATCCAAACTGGAAAATAGTAAGTCAAATTATCTCCATTTGCTGATGATATAATCTTATGCCTAAAATAATCATCTCTCTAAAGACTCCTCCAAAAGACTTCAAGATCTGATAAATTCAGTAAAGTTTCAGGATACAAAATCAATGAGCAGAAATCAGCAGCATTTCTATACACCAACAATAAGCTGAGATCCAAATCAGGACGGCAATTCCATTTATAACAAGCTACAAAAAACAAAAACAAAAACAAAAACAAACAAACAAAAAACACCTAGTACTACATTCAACCACGAAGGTGAAAGATCTCTACAAGGAAAACTACCAAACACTAATGAAAGAAACCGTCAATGATACCAACAAATGGAGAGACAACCCATGCTCAGGGATTGGAAGAACTGATACTATTAAAATGACCATACTACACAAAGTGTTCTATAGATTCAGTGTAATCCCCAACAAAATAACAATATCGTTTTTCACGGAATTAGAAAAAACAATCCCCAAATTCAGATAGAACCAACAAGAAGCCCAAATAGCCAAAATAACCTTAAGCAAAAGAACAAAGCTAGAAGCATTACATGACCTGACTTCAAATTATACTGTAAGGCTATAATAACCAAAACAGCATGGTACTGGTACAAAAATAGACTTACAGATGAATGGAACAGAACAGAGAACCCAGAAATAACTGATCTTTAACAAAGTCAACCAAAACATACACTGGGGAAATGACACACTATTCCATAAATGGTGTTAGGAAAATTGGATTTCCATTCCTCTGCTATATGCAGAAGAATGACACTGGACCCCTATCCCTCATGACATAAAAAAATTATCTCAAGATGGATTAAATACTTAAACACAAGTCTGGAAACTTTAAAAACTCTAGAAGAAAATCTAGGAAAAACTCCTCTAGACATTGGCCTAGACAAAGAATTCATGACTAAGACATCAAAAGCAAAAACAACAGAAACAAAAATAGACAAATGGGACTATATAAACTAAAAGGCAACTGCACAGCAAAAAAACAATCAACACAGTCAACAGACAACTTGAAAAATGGGAGAAAATATTTCCAAACTATGCATCTGATAGACAAGTTATAATATCCAGAATCTACGAGGAATGCAAACAACTCAACCAAAACCCCTCAAATAACCCTATTAAAAAGTGGGCAAAGGAAATGAATACACATTTTGCAAAAGAAGGTGTACATTTTGCAAATGGCCAACAAGCATATGACACCAGTCAGAATGACTATTATTAAGTCAAAAAATAACATGTTGGCGAGGATGTGGAGAAAAGGGTATGCTTATATACTGTTGGTGAGAATGTAAATTAGTACAGCCTCTAAGGAAAACAGTATGTAGATTTCTGAAACAATTAAAAGTAGATCTACCATTCAATCCAGCAATCCCAATACTGGGGTATATACCTAAAGGAAAAGAAATCATTATATCAAAAAAGATACCTGCACTTCTATGTTTATCATAGCACTATTCACAGTAGCAAAATATGGAATCAACCTAAGTGTTCATCAACAGAGGATTGAATAAAGAAAATGTGGTTTACACATACCAGGGAATACTACTCAGCCATAAAAAATTGAAATCATGTCTTTTGCAGCAACATGGATGGAACTGGAGGCCATTATCTTAAGTAAAATACCTCAGAAGCATAAAGTCATATACTGCATGATCCCACTTTTAAGTGGAAGCTAGGTAATATTTACACACAGAGAGTGTAATAATAGAAACTGAACATAGAAATTGGACATAGAGAGTGGAATAACAGAAACTGAAGATTCAGAAAAGTGGAGGGAAAGTGGGTGGGTGAGGGATGAGAATTGCCTAATGAGTACAATGTACTCTATTTGGGTAATGGTTACACTAAAAGCCCAGGCTTCACCACTATGCAATATATCTATGCAACAACACTGTACTTGTACCCCTTACATCTATTTAAAAATATATGTATATATATTTATATAAAATTTAACTTCTGATTTTTCTATAATGAACATGTACTACTTACACAATAAAAATAAAGCAGCAATAAAGATTTACTTGGGTGTAACAGTTACACAAAAGAACATTTTCTCATATTATGTTATCTAAGTTATTTCAGTGGAGAAGTTTGGTGCATTAGCTCTGAGGGCAGACACTGTGTGTTTAAATTTTGGCCCTGCCATACACTTGTATTAACCTTAGACCTAAGTTCCTTAACCTCATTGTGCTTCAGTTTCCTCATCTTCAAAATATGGACACTAACAGAACTTGTCTCTTAACGGTTATTATGAAGATTAAATTAGTTAATTTATGTAAAATGTTTACAATAGTGTTTACCACATAATCATTCATAAATTATAGCTATTGTTATTTGCAGAACTATACTTTTTATTAGTGTACTAAAAATACAGATTTTTCAGACTTCCAAAATATTGTAATCCATCATCTTTAAAAAGCTGTTCACTATGAAATTATAAAAAAGTTTAAGGGTATATTCTTTCTTTGAGAAACAAGTAAAAATGTTTAAGGGTGTAAATATTTTCCTTATAAAGTGTTATGCTTTATTAAATTTATACTTAAAGAAGCATTTCCAAAGTTACCAATGACCAAAATCCCATGATACGTTTTTCACTTACCTACTAAAATCAAGGCACAATGACTAAAAGATTGGTTAAATTATAAAAAGCTAAAAGCTTTTTTCATAACTATCTGGATAGTAAATAACTGCCTTACTGAGACTCAAAATCCATTTAAATGATCTTACTTTTGGTGGATGGCATTTCAACAACTCAGACTGAAATATAATCTGATCTTCTAGGAAAATCTTTACCCTTATGAGTACATATCAAGCAAAATGAAAGAGATATTCTAAGGCGTCAAAACACCTCATATTCTCAAGGTAATTTTTGACTCACACATCAAAGATTTCAATGTAATTTATTTCTCAAAGGTAGGAAATCTCAAAAAGAGAGCTCCACATGAAGACTGCTTAGACGAAAGATTTTTCAGAATTACACATTAAAATAAATAGAACCTCAATTCCATTTCACCCAAAACTAATGATATTCAGTTGATATTTACCTCTTTAAAATGGCTCTGTAATTATTTAACATGAATGAAGCCAGAGAAACATATTACCATAATGTATAATTTATATACTTATATCTTTAACTCAACTCTCATGGTCTATCCCTATTGTCCAATAAAATTTGCATTCAGTCAGGTCTCTTTTCTTTTTGCTTCTCAAAACTCAAACCATGATTAATATCTGCCTCAAGAGAGGACAGACAGGACATGTTCTTCTGACATTATCATCTGAACATTTCAGTGTAGGTTTTTGCTATTATAACTGACTTCTACTTTTTTTGTCTCCCCTAATTCTTATTCTAGTTTGTACGACAGCAGTAACTGGAAAGAAAGAATATCTGAATGATCCTGTCCCGTATTAAAACTCAGTTTTAAGGCAAAAAAAAAATTGAAAATGCAATAATTTGGGGAGTACTATGAACAAATTGAGAATACTTAAATAAATAGTGCAAACGTATAGGTACGCTTCTATCACAATTAGTAGAATGGAAAACATGGAAGAGTAAACTAGGAGAACAGTATAGCTAAATTAATCAGTTTCTAATTATTGTCTTCATAGTAAGTATTTAAATAAAAAAACAGAATTGATATATTCTTCTGCTACAGTATTTATTTGTAACTATTAATATTTACACTCTACTTCTCAATGATGGGTTTTTTTTTTTTACTGGGTACTAGAGTCAGAGTCACTTTAATGAAAAAATGAAAGAAGCAGGTATGAGGAGTTAATATCATAAACAAACAAGTATGATTTCACATGGTTTAATACTCTAACTCAAGCTAGGTTTTCCTCTGCTCCCCCTTTTTACTTCCATTTTTAGAAAGGAAATAAATGATAACTTGGAAACTTCTAGTGGTAAAGAATCTTTCTACTGGCAAGAGAGGAAAACATGATTTGAGAGTAAGAGATACCTGGTGTGGGACAAACCTGATGAAGTGCTTAGGGCAATCTAAAGGTAAAAGATGGTGATAAAAAGGTAATACAAGAGACCAAAGTAGGAAGAACTGGTAGAAAACACTGCTTATTTAATTATTTTTCCTAAGGCTATGGAAGCAGCTGGTATGCTACTGAAATTCAACTGCATTGATACCATTCTGTTATGTCGGTACTATACAAAAATATCTGAGTTAGATGGCAGTGTACTTAATCTTTCTTAATCTAGCATCTTCAGTTGATTCCAATGATATCCTTCTCTGTGAAAAAAAAATCACCATATGAAGAAGAGAAAAAAGGAAGATACTTAACTCTGCCATGGCATTTAAATGCTCCACCAGGTATTACTTTCCTGTTCTACTTCCGGGCATAGTCATTCTCTGCTAGTTGTCCCTTATTTGTCCTGAAGATGCTAAAGTGCATAGTAGTCCATAGCAAAGAGAGAAAGAATAAATTCCCCTCCTTCTTGTTACCTTCTTTTAGAAAAAATCCCTAAACAACAATAGGTGGGCATTACAGGATTTATTAAAACAGGTTTTTGAGGTCTTACAATGGCCCCCTTGCTCTTCACAAAACTCAGGCATTAATCAGGTAAAAGCTATAACAAGAAAACAACCTGAGAAAGAGATAGCAATCTCCACCACAACTGGCCACAATGATATTAAAGGATAACAAAGGAATATTATAAACAACTCTATGCCTACAAATTTGATGACCTAGGTGAAATAAACCAATTCATTAAAACACACAATATTCCAAAACTCACACAAGAAGAAACAGACGACCTGAATAGGTATGTATCTATTTAAAAATTGCATCAATTATTAATAACTTTCCAAAGCAGAAATTTTGGATTCAGTGGTAAATTCTACCAAGCATTTATGAGAAAAATTACTTCAATTCTGTACACTCTCTTTCAGAAGAGAGAAGTAGAGTGAATATTTCCTAACTCATCCTATGAGGCCAGCATCACCCTAATACCAAAGACATTACAAGAAAAGAAAACTACAGACCAATATCTCCATGAAGAAAGATTCAAAAATCCCAAACAAATCATTAGCAAATCAAGTCCAATAATGAATAAAAACCACAACCAACTGGGTTTTATTCCAGGTATGCCAGGCTGGTTCAACATCTGAAAATGAATGAATGTAATCTATCCATCACATATGGCTGAAGAAGAAAAACCATATGATACTATCAACAGATACAGATAGCAAGCTATATTGAAAACTGCCCCATCCTGGGCAACGTGGAGAAACCCCCAATCTCTACCAAAAAAAAAAAAAAAAAAAAAGACAGGCATGGTGGTGCACGCCTGTAGTCCTAGTTACTCAGGAGACCAAGGTGGAAGATTGCTTGAGCCCAGGAGGTCAAGGTTGCAGTGAGCCATCATTGTGCCACTGCACTCCAGCCTGGGCAAATGAGTGAGAACCTGTCTCAACAAAACAAAACAAAACAAAACAAAACAAAACAAACAAAACACTGCCTTCCCATACTAATTAGTTTTATTACTGAGCCAAGTTCACCATGTCTGGTTCCTAAACCTCTCTCAAGAAACTGTTCTTGTGAGTGATCTTCTCTCAGACGCTCCTCCCTGTGCAACAGCCACACACAGACATGCATGAATCCCAACAACAGAGAAAGTTGACATGCTTTCCTAAAACACTCCTCACCTCATCATACTCAATGATAAAAGACTGAAACCTTATCCTCTAAGATCAAGGAAAAGCCAAGCATGCCTACTTTCACCACTTCAACTCAAAATAGTACTGAAAGTCCTAGCCAGAGCAATTAGGCAAGAAAAAGAAATAAAAGGTGTCCAAAGTGAAAAGGAAAAAATTATCTCTGCTCACAGATTATATGATCTTCTATGCAGAAAATCCTAAAGATTCCACCTTAGAAAAAACTGCTAGAACTAATAAACAAATCAGACCAGGTGCAGTAGCTCACACCTATAATCTCAGCACTTTGGGCAGCTGAGGCAGGCAGATCACTTAAGGTCAGGAGTTAAAGATCAGCCTGGCCAACAAGGTGAAACCCCATCACTAGTAAAAATACAAAGATTAGCTGGGCATGGGCATGGGCATGGTGGCAGGAAACTGTAATCCCAGCTACTCGGGAGGCTGAGGAAGGAAAATCACTTGAACTCAGGAGGCAGAGGCTGCAGTGAGCCAAGATCACACCACTGCACTCCAGCCTGGGCAATAGAGCGAGACTCCATTAAAAACAAAAACAAAAACAAAAACAAAAAAAACTAATAAACAAATCCAGCAAAGTAGCAGGATTCAAAGTCAACACTAAAAAAACCAGCTGCATCTCTATACACTAATAATGAACAATCTGAAAAAGAAATTTCTAAGAAAACAATTCCATTTGCGATTACATCAAAAGGAATAAAATACTTAGGAACAAACTTAACTAAGGAGGTGAAAGACTTGTACGGTGAAAACTGTAAAACATTTCCAAAAGAAATTAAAGACATAAATAAATAAATGAGAAGGCACACTATGTTGATGCTTAGAAAACTTAATGTTAACATGTCAATAATACCAAAAGTGATTTACAGATTTAATGCCACCTCCACAAAATTCCAATGACATTTCTTGCAGAAATAGAAAAACCTCCTAAAATTCATATGGAATCTCAAAGAGATCCCAATTCTGAAAAAGAGAAACATAGCTGGAGGACTCAAACTTCTTGATTTCAAAATGTACTATAAAGCTACAGTAATCAAAACACTGTTGTACTGGCTAAAGACAAACATATAGACCAATGGAATGAAACAGAGAGTCCTGAAATAAAACCTTGCATATATGGTCAAATGATTTTTGACAGGGGACCAAGACCACACAATGTAGAAGAGCCTTTTTAACAAATGTTCTGGGAAAACTGGATATCCAAATGTAAAAGAATGAAAATGAACCCTTGCCGAATATCGTATATAAAAATTAACTCAAAATGGATCACATCATAACGATAAGACTTAAAACTACGAAACTCTTAGAAGAAAACATAGGGAAAAAGCCTCACAACATTGGATTTGGCAGATTTCTTGGATATGACATCAAAGGCACAGAAAACAACAAAAAATACAAAAAGTGGATTTCATGAAAATTAAAACATTTTGTCTATCAAAAGATACTATCAATAGAGTAAAAAATGCCATCCCAAAATGGGAAAAAATATTTGCAAACCATATATCTGATAAGAGATTAATATCCAAAATATATGGAGAATTCCTAAAACTCAACAACCAACCAACAAACAATGCAATTCCAAAATGGGCAAAAGATTTGGACATTTCTCCAAAAAAGATATACAAATAGCCAATAAGCACATGAAATGATGTTCAGTGTCGCTAATAATTAAGGAGATGCAAATCAAAACTACAGTAAGATATCACCTCATACCTATTAGAATGGCTATTATTTTGGAAAAACAGACAATAATAAGTGTTGGTTAGGAGGCAGAGAAATTGGAACGCTTGTACACTACTGGAGGAAATGTAAAATAGTATAGTCACTGTGGAAAACAGTAGGGCAGTTCCTCAAAAAATTAAAAATAGAATTGCCATAGAGCCACCAATTTCATTTCTGGGTCCATACTCAAAAGAACTGAAAGAAGAGTTTCAAAGAGATATTTGTACACCCATGTGCATAGCAGCATTATTCACAACAGCTAAAACACAGAAGCAATTCAAGTGTCCCCCAATGGATAAATGGTTAAGCAAAGTATGGCACATGCACAAAACAGAGTATTATTCAGCTTTAAAAAGGAAGAATATTCTGATACATGCTGTAACACAGACGAAACTGGGGACATTATGCTAAGTGAAATAAGTTGGTCACAAAAAGACAAATAGGGTATGATTCCATTTATATGAGGTACTTAGAGTAGTTAAAATCACAGGGGCAAAAAGTAGAATGGTGGCTGCCAGGGTTGGGGGAAGGGGGAATGGAGTTGTTTAATGGGTATGGAGTTCAGCTTTGCAAGATGAAAAGAGTTCTAGAGATGGATAGTGGTGATGGTGCACAACAATAGAATTGAAAACTATTGAGCTGCACACTTAAAAATGGTTGAGATGGTAAATTTTATGTTATGTGTATTTTACCACAATTTTAAAATTGAAGAAAAAAAAGGAATAAAATTCTGATACATGCTACAACATGGATGAATCTTGATGACATCATGCTGACTAAAATAAGCGAGACAAAAAAAGGACAAATACAGTATGATTCCACTTATATGATCTACCCAGAGTAGTCAAGTTCATAGAGACAGAAAGTAGAATATTGGTTATCAGAGGCTGGGATGACAGAATAAAGACTTATTTTTTAATGGGTATAAAGTTTCTGTTTAGGATGATGAAAAAATCCTAGAGATGGAATAGTGGTGATGGTTGTACAACAATGTGAATACACTTAATGACATTGAACTGTACATTTAAACATTATTAAAGTGATGTTTTGTGATGTATATATCTTATCACAATAAGGAATAAAAAGGGAAAAATACTGTAGATGTAAAAAATAAAATAAAATTCTACACTATTGGGAGGAATTAATCCCATCACATAAAAAGATCTCCAAAACACCAAAGATGCAGTAAAAAGAGTCAAGATTATTTCCCCTTCAAATTGGCCATATTTTAAAAATAATACACACGATAAAGAATTCCTTAGAGGAGAGATGTTCATAAACAAAAATCTGAAATTAAGAAAAAAGCTTACCCAAAATCTAAATAAACATGTATGGTTGACCCTTGAACAACAGGAGTTTGAACTGTGCGAGTGTAGTTATGAATAGATTTTCATCCATCTCTGGGATGGATGAGACAGCAAGACCAACCCCTCCTCTTCCTCCTCAGCCTACTCAACATGAAGACAAGAATGAAGACCTTTTTGATAATCCATGTCCACTTAATGAACAGTAAATTTATTTTCTTTTCCTTATGACTTTTTTTTTTTTTGGGAACAGGGTCTCACTCTGTTGCCTATGCTGGAGTGTAGTTGCATGATCACAGTTCACTGCAACCTCAAACTCCTGGGCTTAAGTGGTCCTCCCGACTTGGCATCCTGAGAAATTAAGGTTACAGGCATGGGCCACTAGGCTCGGCTAGTTTTTCAAAATTTTTTGTAGAGACATTATAGGCATGAGCCACTGCGCCCAAGTCCCCTTATAATTTTCTTAATAACATTTTCTTTTTTCTAGCTTACTTTACTGTAATAATACAGCATAAATACAGATAAAATTAAAAATATGCATTAATTGACTTAATATTATCAATAAAGGCTTCCAGTCAACAGCTGGCTATCAGTAGTTAAGTTTCTGGTGAATCAAAAATTATATGTGAATTTCTGACTGAATGGGGGGATCAGTGCCTCTAACTCCTGGGTTATTCAAGAGTCAAATGTAATATACCTAACTTTAACTATGCAAAGTCACTACACTATTTTTATATCAAAGAATTCTGGAAAATACAGAGAGAATTTTTAGTACTTTTCCACTTTGCAAAGAAATTACGAAAATTAATAAAACAATTTTTAATATAACAGTTAAAATGGACTTAAAGGAAATATAAACAATCTATTACTCTTAAATATTAAATTATTATAAAAGCAAAATATAAATAAAAGGAATAAATAAATGTATTTTGGTAGTCCTAATTTTAAGATAACAAAATTAATAGAATGAAGTTTGTGATATAGCTATAACAGAAAGAGAATGACAAGTAGGGGTGAGTGTGTGTGTGTGTGTGTGTGTGTGTGTGTGTGTGTGTAAGCTATATACCCTAAGACATAAGTGATGCTGAAAATTATTTTTCAGTGGGTTTTACATTAACTTGCTCCCAAAATAAATAATGTAAATTTAATAATACAGCTTTCCATAATACATAAGTATAGCTACGTAATCTCTATGGTAAACTAATAATAAAAAGCTATCAATAACAAAAGACATTCTAGTAATTTTACACTGAACTTGATCTTCATATAGAATCATCTTTAATAAGCTTCTCCTAATATAAAAATAGAAAGTATTAATTAGCATGAGTGAAATTTCAGAGGTTGGTCTAGCTCATCAATTAAATGGGATATCCACGAACCATATTTTGACACTGACCTTTTTAAAAATAAGAGAGGTTTATCAGAAAATGCCCTTAATTTTAAGCACAACACAGTAAAAATAAATTAAAACTGTGAACAAAAGGATTTAATAAATTATTTTAATGTTTCTTTTTTCTAGAAAAATTTCTTACAGATATCATCCCTTTTGTAGTTCCAAAAAAAAACCCAGAAGATTAATATGGCCACCTAGAGGAGAAAACATGATCAACAAATATGCCATTACATTTTCCTACTTTTTCTAGAATATGTGTATTTCAGATTTATAACATATAACCTGCTCTAAAGGACCAACTGAAGGGATTCATCTTGTATGAAATAGACTTAGGGAGACTACTAAAGTAGCAGTGATGACCTAATGAAAGCCAAATAACATTAATTTCGCTGTCAACTTGACAAGTATAGTTTTTATCTTGCTGTGTGACTTTGGGTTAAAAAAATCAACTTAAAGTCACTTAAATTCTGTAGAATCTTACCTACCACAATACATGGCAATGAAAATTAAATATGACAGCATAACAGAAACAGACTGAGGCACGTAGTAGGAACTCAATAAATGGCAGTACTCGCTACCTGGTAAAAGTTCTCTTGCACTGGTCTCTCCTAATACCTCTTCAGGTCCTCTCTAATCTTCTCTACTCCTGCAGATTTGTAGGAGTAGAGAAGCTTTGGCTGTTCCAAAGCTTCTCAACTGGAATTACTCAGGCTGTTGAGAAATACACTAAAGGTTCCTTATTAGCATTAATGAGGTAAATATTATGCCATGTAAAAACTGTATATTTTAAAATATTTTTCCTTCTACCTTGTGATTCCCTTTAGTTAACTCACATTAGTCAAGTTTAACCTTTGTAAACTTGTGTGATGGTCACATGCAGACCAAAGGGTCACAGCAATAAGAAGTGTAACTTACTCTATTCATCTCTTTCCTTGTGTGTCATTTATTTTCTATTCACACAGGAAAATGAATGAAGTCCTACCAAGAGAACTGTGCCCAGCAGTTCTCTTAGGTGGGTGATCAGCCACAAAGCAGCAGTTTCTGCAGACGCAGCTTTGCCAAGGGGCAACCACCAGGTGGAGACGCAAATCCCCTTCCTTCCCAAATATATACCAGAGGAGAGTATCAGTGGGTGGCAGGAAGAAGGTGAACAGTTGGGTTACAAACAAAACCCCCCAACTACCTCTCTGACTCTCAAAGTTGATAAGGAGAGAATAGATGCTAAGAAAGTGAAGGCGGCAAATGTATACTTCCTTACCACTTATACTCTCCTTAACAACATTCAATCTGACTTCCTTATTACTCTCCTAAAACTCTAATTGAAAATGATTGCTCAACTTCTACTGGACAAAGGGGTTTATCTGAATTATCATTCTCCCCAACCACGCTGCCTTCCTTCTTCTTCTAAAACTTTTCTTCCATGGCTGATAAAATATAACATTTTCCTGATTCTCCTCTTTATCTCTTACTGTTTCTTTGTGTCTTTACATGATGCCCTTAATTCTCCTGTCAAAGGAAATGATTCTCTGATCTTTTCTCTCCACACATTCTCCTTCATCAATTTAATTCATGCCCATAGTTTCTATTCTCTAAGCATATACGATCTGAAAACTTCTCCCTGAAACGCATTCATGATTACAAGCTTGACAGCCCTTTCCAACTGCTTAAATATCCTGCCTCATCACATATGTAAAATCACTTATTATATCTCTTATTCACTGCTCACTTCCAACCAAACACAGGTCCCTCTCTGGATTTCATATTTATATTAATGACATCATCATTCTCCTCATCATACATGAGGAAATCAGTCATCTCTGATGCTTCCTTTCTTCTTCCAAATGTTCCAAACACATTCAGTTCCTAAATCCAGTAAGTTCTACCTCAATAATCTCTCTCCTATCTTCCTTTATTTCTATTGCCACTACTGTAATTCAGACTTTTATCATTTTCCACATATACTACCCCAAAGATCTCCTTAACTGATATCTTTTCTGATAGTCTGCTTGCTGCTAAATTAATCTTTCTAAAGCACAACCCTGATTATGGTTCCTTAGTAAAAAACTTTTCAGCAAATTCTCACTGGCAAACAAATTAAACCCTATCTTCCTAGTCAGGGGGCACTCCAGGCCTTAGACTTCATCTCTCCTTTCAATTTTATCTTCTATTCCCTCAGATGTATATGTATAGACGCACCTATGTTGGAGCCAAGTGGATTTCTCTCCATCCCTGAAACATTCTCTACATTTTATCACACTCTCCTGCTTAAAAACCTTGATTAATGTATACAGATAGTATGTGTATAAATGCACCTATGTTGGAGTCAAGTGGATTTCTCTCTATCCCTGAAATATTCGCTACATTTTATCACACTCTCCTGCTTAAAAACTACTGAGCAAGGCAATCCCCTTCTTCAAACAAAGATCCCAAGTTACAGGCACTGAAATACACTTTCTTTTGGATTCATGATTGCATGAAAGCCCTATTCCATGCTTGTTGAAATAATTCTCACTCAAGTCTAACTCACCTAGACCCCATTAGACTTCCTCAGATTCCTACTTCCCAAAATCGAAATCACCTCCTACTCTCTGTATCTTTTTTTATTTTTGATTTTTAAAGTTTTGTCAGCTGGGCACGGTGGCTCATGCCTGTAATCCCAGCACTTTGGGAGGCCGAGGCGGGCAGATCACAAGGTCAGAAGTTCGAGACCAGCCTGGCCAATATGGTGAAGCCCCGTGTCTACTAAAAATACAAAAATTAGCTGGGCATGGTGGCAGGCGCCTGTAATCCCAGCTACTCGGGAGGCTGAGGCAGGAGAATCTCTTGAACCCAAGAGGCAGAGGTTGCAGTGAGCCAAGATCGTGCCACTGCACTCCAGCCTGGGCAACAGAGTCAGACTCCATCTCAAGAAAGTTTGTCTTTTTTTAATTTCCTCTATATTTCTACTGCACTTTGTTCATGTGACTAACAGACCTCTCATCATATTACGTATATACTCACTGATTTTCCTCCTCCAGTCAGTAGGTTTTTTGAGATAAACAAGCTTATGATCTTCATATCCACAGTATCTAGCAGTGTATGACTGCTAAAAAGCGTTCACGAAAGCTTTTTGTGTTTACAAAATAAATAAATATAATCTCAGAATGCCTAAAATTAAGTGTTTCATCAAATAATTGAGGGTAGAAATGTGTAAAAAAGTACAGGATAGGTCCTAAATATATGGGTAAAATAAAATGAGAAGGTGATTCTGGGGCACTTGGACCACTTGCAGAGGTTAGGGCAAGAATAGTAGAAGCACCTAGATTGTGTACCTCTCTCCTCACTGCTCTTTCCATAGGCTATAAAGTCAGGCTAGACTAACAGAACTACCGAGAAGTGCTCAAGACAGCAGAGGGGAGTTGGGGTGAGAGGAAAGAGAAATGAATAGAAAATAAATCCGAAACGTACCTGCAAAAAGGGAATGCACACTCAGGGCTTGCTCATGACCGTCACTCTTTTCACTACCATTATAATTGGCTACATTTACTGATCACTTACCTATTAGCTATCGGACACTATGCTAAAAACTGTACCACATATATCATTTAATTTTCATGGCAACCCTGCCAGTTCAGTTTTATTCATATTTTACAGACAATGAAAGAAATCTAAAAACAATGAACTATATTGCCAAAGGTTTCACAGCTAATATATTAAGAGATATGGCCAGAATGTTAACAAGGACCAGATCTCAAAACACATTCTCTTCCTGCTCTACTATTCATGTACCAGGGGTGTACATAACTTGGGGACTGGTTTTACTGCTTTGTATTATTTAATTAACTTAGTAAGCACATGTCTTATTTTCCCTAGTACTAAAATGTATTTTTGAGGGTAGAGTACCTGTCAGATATTTTTTACTTCTTCCCTTGAATCTCATAATGACCATATAGTAATCATTCAGTATTTGATTAATTTATTATTATATCTGTGTACTAGCAGACATAAGAATTGAGGTGCACTAATCTTTAGTTGGCATGAAGCCAAATACAGCAATAGGTGATTTACCCCCTTTGACAACTGTACATGCTGGGATAAAACTTTAAGTCATCAATAGTAATAGGCCCTAAAACATTAAGTCACAGCTACAAAATCAAGGATAGCTTGTGTTTATGTATAATGATAAAAATGATATCTAGGATATATTATTCTGTCCCTCATATCTGGGTATAAAGATAATAATCATGATGAGTAGCCATACATTCTATTAAGCAAGTGAATAATTTATTTAAATGTGGAAATAAATATGCTTTAATTAATGGCAAAATCTGTCTTATTTATGTCACAGAAAGACGTAAAAACATGAATAAGTGGACTGACATCTTCTATATAGGTTGAGTTCTAAAGTCAATTTCAGCACATAACACAAAATCAGTTAGAGACAAATAATCCTTCAAATTACTGAAATCCTTGAAAATACCTTAAATTGCCTTTAAAGAATGGTATAATATAGTACTAGCTCTCAATAAATTCATCTCAGACAGTTTTCCCTTCTGCACAAAACAGATTACCATTTCTTCCGCTGTCTGCCATGTGCAACATTTGGCTGGTGTTTAGGAGCCATATTGAATGAGACAGTATACATTTACACACTGGAATCATATTCAACACCGTGAGAGACTTAAACTCTATCAGTTCCTATAACAGGTATAGAGAAACCAATTCCATCTGAGAGAACAGCAGATTCACATCTTTCATATCATGCTTGCTAAGCATATGTTCACTGTGAAATAAGAGCTACAATTAACACATTACGTAAATTATTTGGTTTTTGCTTTGGGGTGTTTTGGTATTGGTTTTGATTTTTGGCCTGAGCCCAAAGATACAAATTTGAATAAATTACATTCCCAGAAATGTGACTGTACTGTATGTGCTCTCTTGTTTATTCTGCAACCACAGATTCCTAGAATTTCAGGCACAAGTAATCAAATACTATAGTGTGTCATGTAAAAAAAATAAAACAGCCCATCTTACCTTCATCTATTGATGCTTCACTACTGTATCCATCATACTCTGCCGATAGAGGACTGTATTTCTGCCTTGTTTCCCAAGCATAGTTCCTTTGTCTAGAATCTGCCAGTGGTAGTCTGGAATTGTGTGTTCTGGATAAGGCCTCATGATATTTACCCAGCGCTTCATCTTCACTTTCAGAGGATGAACCATGCTCATCTTTGTCCATGTAGGAATTATCTATTTGGAATGACATGAAGAACAAACGGTAATTGAAAAAAAAATTCCCTCCCCTCACCTGGCCCTACTGGGCCCGTCAAATGATAATTTTTACACAATAAAGTATAGAAAATTTGCTGAAGTTATATATATAAACACACACATATACATATATGCACACATATATACACACACACACACATATATATTATACACAACCTGAATTTTCAGATTTAAAAAAATACAATTTTTTCACATAAGAAGCCCAAGCTTTGGAAAAAGATCAGTTTGTATATTCTATTATATAAATAATGTTTGTTAGTCACAGGGATTTTTCAACCATGTTACATATAAAGTAAATTATAATACCAATTTACATTTTTTAAAGTATAAGTAACACACAAGTGAAGTTCTAAGTATTGCCAGTACTATAGCTCTGATTCAAATAACTCACATTAAAAGACACATTTCTGGTTCTCGTTTTGGTCAAAATTTTCAAAACGGATAATGCTCAGTGCTAGCAGTAAAATACAGCAATGGACAGGTATATACTATTGGTGAAATTATAACTGATACTACTTTCCTAGAGAGCAATTTGGCAAAATATATCAAACTTTTAAATCTGCATAATCTGATCCATTTCCAGGAATTTACCAATTCTATTTCTAAGAATTCAGCCTAAGAAATTAATTAACAGATGAATAAAGATATATTTTTGAGACAATTCACTGCACTGTATTTAATGGCAAAAGAGATAACCTAAATGTCCATCAGTGAGCTTTGTTTAAATAAATTATGATGTATCTATTCAATGATATATTATGCAGTCATTAAAAATGAGGATGTGAATTTAAAAGAACTCTCAGGGAAAGAATAACTACAATATCATGTTATGAGAAAAAAGGAGGTAAAAAAGTAGAAGTTATAATTATATTCCCATTTGAAAAATATATATACACACACATGTGGCATATACACACACATAATGCATACATAGGTATGCACAGACAAAACTATCTGGAAGGATATACACCAAACTGTTAACACTTACTGCTTGTGAAAGGCAGAATTTCTAGGAAAACTTTACTTAAATATACCTAAATTTCAAACAAAACTTTCAGGAGGTCTAAATTTTTTATTGTTCTAAAAAGCACTAGTTATTACCAGTTTTTTAAAAAGGTAACCACTTTGAAACTGCACAATGGTGTAACTTTCTTAGAATTATTAAACAATTCTAGAAAGGTGAAGAGACTACAGTAGTTAAAATTCATTAGTTCAATCTGGTTATTTTTCTCTTTATAGTCAGTTAAGCATCTGTAGTAAAGAAATTGAGGTTGAAATTTGAGTGGGAGTTACAGGATAAGTAATTTTTAAAATACAGGACAGAAACTAAATGCTTAGAGTTAGAAGGAGGTTATATGTCATCTAGTCTAGTCCTAGTTTTTAAATCAGTAAAATAAAGCCATAAATGGGTAACGCCATCACCAATGTCATATATTGTGGCAGTGCTTGCCCAATATGTAGCCAATAGTCACATGTGGCTATTTAAACTAATTAAAATTAAACAGAAATTAAAACCCAGTTCCCCATGCTATTAGCCACATTTGAAGTGCTCAACAGCCACATGCAGCTAGCGGTTACTATATGGAACAATGCAGAGATATAAGACTTTTTCATTGTTGCAGAAAATACTATTAGACAACAATGAGATGGCCGAGCCTAAGACCTCTGACTCCCAGTGCAGAGCTGTTAGCACTTTCTGGGATACCATGGTGGGGATCTTAAACCAGCAGAGGGTTTTGAGTCTCTTGAGGAGGGTAACTAGTCTGTGGTCAAACTTCACCTATTAAAAAACATTACCTAACATAACCTACATTTAGAAATAAAGAAGAAAACCCTTTCTCCTTTTTTTTTTTTTTTTTTTTTTTGAGGAGTCTCACCCTGTTGCCAGTCTGGAGTGCAGTGGCGTGATCTCAGCTCACTGCAACCTCCACCTCCTGGGTTCAAGCAATTCTCCTGCCTCAGCCTCCCAAGTAGCTGGGATTATAAGCACCCACCACCATGCCCGGCTAATTTTTGTATTTTTAGTAGAGACGGGGTTTCACCATGTTGGCCAGGATGGTCTCGATCTCTTGACCTCGTGATCTGCCCGCCTTGGCCTCCCAAAGTGCTGGGATTACAGGCGTGAGCCACCGTGCCTGGCCTTCCCCCTTTTTCTATACCTTATAAACCCTGTGTCAGAACCTGGAACACAGGTACCAGTAATATTACCATTCAGCTAAATGAAGGGTTAATCTATGTGTCAAACAATTTTTGAAAATCATTTGGGAACATTGCGTGTATAAGTTTAGTACTGACTATATTGTGGAATATGTTAGAAATATTTGGTTTCTTTAGGTACTAGCATGCTTCTTAATGAAAACAAATTTAAAAAGTTAAAAACCCTACATGCTATTTGTAATGTACTTATTACTAGTATCCATTCTATCATTATTTTCTGAATAAAATAATATGTAAACTATTTTACATTATTTTTTAATTTTTGCTACTTTAAGCAGTAAGTCTACCAGAACTAAACTAGGCCTACCAAAGATCACTAAATCTGACAATCAAAAAACTGCTAGAATGGCCAGGCACAGTGGCTCACACCTGTAATCCTAGCACTTTGGGAGGCCGAGGCGGGTGGATCACGAGGTCAGGAGACCGAGACCATCCCGGGCCAACATGATGAAACCCTATCTTTATGAAAAAGACAAAAACTAGCTGGGCGTGGTGGTGCGTGCCTGTAGTCCCAGCTACCTGGGAGGCTGAGGCAGGAGAATCGCTTGAACCCGGGAGGCAGAGATGGCAGTGAGCCGAGATTGCACCACTGCAATCCAGCCTGGCGACAGCGCAAGACTCTGTCTCAAAACAAAAAACAAAAAACTGCTAGAAAAATAGACTCCAAAATGGATACATTTTCAGAAACTGACATTTCTTTTAAGTTAGTTCATCCATCCTGGATTAGCCTCTCCTATATCACTGTAAAACCACTCATATAATAGATAAATAGCAGATCCCTATTATGTATGTAGTCGTAGCAGAACTGAAAAGTCTTCCTCATTACCGCTATTCTGCTTTTTGTTATTTTACAAGAGTATGAACTTAGAGAAAAATTCCAGATGTGTATTTTATAAATAAAAGCCAGTGTACTTTTGGCCTTGTGATCAGATCAGCAATAAGTGGATATGACTAAGGGATTACCAGAAGTAATTATTAGCAGTATGAGCTGCTAATGAATATTGAAAATTATCACATATACTGTGAATAATGAAAATTATCACAAATACTGTGATTGAAAACTATAAATGCTTAGTCAGAATCCTAATTCTACATAGAGAACTCATGAATAATAATAGATTATTCACGTATACTTATTGTAAACAGGGCAGTAATATAAAATTTTTAATGTATGGGCGAAATGAATAAAAATACATTGTGAACCACATTATTGAATAAAATAAAATCTATTGCTCTCAAAGAAATAATTAAACATTTGATATAAATTTGGATAGATGCAAAGAGCAATACTGTATAAAGGGCTTCAGAGTTAGTTATATAAAAATTTCAAATGCAACTACAGCACATCAAATAAACTCCAAATAAAGCAGGTAAGAAAACCATGGAGTTTCTGGTTGTAAAATAAATGGACATTAAGAAAAACTAGGGCTGCTGAAAAGTTGGCCAAATAATGCAGGGACCAGGGGCAATACTTAGTGGGACAAATAACATGAATGCTCTTGAAATGATTTTAGAAAAAATACTGAATGGCTTTAAAAATGTTTCCCAGTAAAAGGATTCAAGAAAGTCTTAAATATAGACACATGAACAGGAAAGCTGAGAAATTTGGATGATGTTTTACTAATTTAAAAAAAATCAAGAGAAAATTTAATCACTCACACCAACATTAGGAGACCTCACCTTTTTCTGGTATTATCTTAGAATATTTTTCATCTTTACTCTTTGCTGTTCCTTTCTTGGCAGAAATGGCCTCAGTTTTCTTTGGTTTTATGTCTTCGTTCACTTTACAGTATTTCGTTGAATTTATTTGTTCTTCAATTTTCCCAGATAACTTATCTTTAGAATTAGTTGATGGTGCTGGATGTATGTCTTCTTTTATAATAGATTTCTGTGTCATATGCCTATTGCTTGTCAAAATATCTTTTAAAGAACATTCATTTCCTGAACACTCATTCCCTTTGGATGCTTTACTTTTAACACATTTTTCAGCTTTCTTTAAATGATCTGAATGCCCTAAATCGGGAAGATGTTTACATTTATTGAAATGCCCCATATTCTCTTGATCTCTTCCCAAATATACATGTCGAGATTTAGAATATTCCTCCTTTTTACAATTATCTGTACCAACATATTTCTTTTGCTCATACAATTTGTTTATTCCGTTGGCATTCTTCTGATTTCCTTTCATTTCTTGATATCCTACCTCCTTTAAATCATTCTTACCATTATTGGAAATTCCTACTCCAATTGTTTTACATCTGTCAGTACTTTCAAGTTCTTGACAAATAGATCCAGCCCTTGTATTCTGTCTGATAACTGATATCCCACCATTATTCATGTAGCCTTTCAAAGAAGAATCACCAGTATTACCAGTGTCTTGATATTCTGATAGAGTTTGTTGCCTATCATTAACATGTTTAAATACTCTTTCTTCATGTATTCCTTGATCTTGCTTTAGTGAAGTTTTACAAGTATTTATTTGCTTTGCTCTATGCTCTAAATTGGCTTGTGTTTTCTGACAATTAGTGTTTTTGGAGACTTCTGTTAACCCGGCATTTTTTTGTTTAGAAGTGTCTACAGCTTCTTCTGCTACAGAGCTTTCCTCTTCTGGGCGAAAGCCACTCATCATACTTGTTACCTGCTCAGCAACTGAGTCAGTTAAAGCATAGCTGACCTCCCCAACAGCAGTGGTCAAATCCTCTACAGCACTACTGATTGTGTCTACTAGAGAGGACACTGAAGGCAGATTCTGTTGGAAATTTCTGAAAAATGCCATTTTCTAATTCCTTGTTCCTAAAAGGTGCAATAATGGAATTTTCTCTTCTGAAAATATCAACCACTTTGGAACTTGAATTTAACATTTACTTAAATGTTGCTATTCGTCAGCTCAATATTAGCAATTCACATTGTAGCTTTTAATCTTTCTGTAAATACATTATGCATTGAAAGAAATATGTTGAAGTAAAGATTCTTCCGGAAAAAAAAAATCAAACCACTTGGTTTAAACGTTATGACATTTTTTCTCACTCCACAGCTATTATAACAGCAGCAAGACAATATTTTTCCCTCAAATACTATTGGTTTTTTATTCTACACCTGAAAAAAGAAGTATAAAAAGGATTTTTATTATGTACTTTTAGTTTGCTTATTAACAGTCTACGTAAGGGAACTACCCTATCTTACTAATAAACTACCCAGTATCATTTCACATTAAGAAAAATATTAAAGAGAAATATCTAAACAATTTTGCATAGTGGTAAGAATAGGGGAGAGGAAGTGTGGACACCTGCTGAGTGGCTACTATATGCAAGGCATTGTAATTGACACATTTTATCCTACTTGATTTTACAGTAATTCTAGGAGGTAAATATTATTATTCCTATTTAATAAGTGAAAGAAAAACAAGGCTCAGAAAAATTAAGTTCCCTGAGACATTTTCAAGGGATCCTCAAGGTCAAGACTAGTTTTACAATAACAGCAAGGGAGTACTTAACTTTTTCATTCTCATTGGCTCACAAGTGAACACTGGAGTTATCCAGAGGCTACATGACAGATTGAATGTAGAGGCAGAAATGAGAATCCAGCTGTCTTCCATTATGCTAGTCATTAAAAAGATTTGTAAAAAGTATAAAACAAAATCACTCTTCTCACCACTTTTTCCCCATTTTCTTTTTGTTTTGGAAAATAGTTTTGTAAAATTTAAAGATGATATTTATATTAACATGTAATAGTCTTGTTTTTTTAAAAAAATAAATTAATAATATTTTTAAATTTTCTGTTTTAAATTGGTAAATAATATTTTTAAATTTTCTCAGTTTTAACTCTAATATGGTACATATCAATAGATATAATCCACATAAACAAAAAGCTCTTTGGGACTACTCAATAAAATTTAAAAGTACAAAGTTGTCATTAAACAAAGGAAAAACCAGAAATGCTGAACCAGAGAATTACCAAAGGCCAGTAAAGAGATACTTTTAGCCAGTTCTTTCTGCACAAATGATCAAAAAGCAGAACTGGAGTGGAATATGAGAAACACTGAACTTAACCAAATTAAAACTGTATAAAATACTATTTATAGTTTCTTAATGCAAAAGTCACAAAATATAATTCAATAACTAATAGAGTCTTATAAGTAATGGGGCTATCGCCTTTTAAGTTATCAAATGTAAGAGAAAAGCATATCTCCAACACAGGTACACAGACAAGTAAAGCCAGATTTCTCAGCTATTTTTTGTCACATTCTTCTAAATTAACACTTTGCTTTTATAATTTCCAATTTGTTTCTGCTATCATTTTTATAAACCAGTCTTTGGAAATAGAAAATTTTTAAAACTCTTGTAGTAATTAAAAAAAAAAAAAACACTCCAAGGAAAATGTTTCCATAGGAGAAAGAATGGTATTACAGCCCTCATCTTTCCTAGTATCTAGTAACACTATAATATATGGTGCCAAGGGAGGGAGTGGAACACTATTTTTTATCATCGGAATTTATATATAAATTAAGTTACTAAGTAAAACCACCTCCAACTCCTCCAAACAATAAAATTACCCATTAGCTGAAAATTAAATAGCAGGTAAAGAAAAAGGGTGAATACTTTCAAAAGCATTCTAGGGATATGGAGAAAAAAAGCTCTCTAAAGAGCTACTTGGACAATGGAAGTACACTACACAAAGTAACAAGATACCTCCTTCTTCCTCAAGTGTATCTGCTCCTATTATAGGCTCAAAAGCATATCTTACATACGAAAAATTAAAATGTCATTTTGTCATAGTAGACAATTCACCTTTATGTAACAGCAATTCATAAACAACAGAAGAATACCTGAACATAATTTACTTAACAGATCTTTTACAGAACAGTAGCTCAAATATTAGTTTATTGTATGTCACAACCAACCTTTTTATTGCATATATTAAAATAAGTAAATAATAGTACGGATAAAAAGAACAAACAAGAGAAGCAGCAATACGATACTTACAAATTTTATCTTGTGAATTCTTCCTTGTACTGTATTCTGAACCAAGATCTGGAAACCCGCCAACATTTTCAAAACAGAACTTCTTATTAATATAGAGAAAAAGGAGCAGCATCAAGATAATAAACACCCCAACAGCTGACAAAAATCCAACTGCCTCTGGAGATACTAGAGAAAAAAAAAGTCACAGCTGTAAGCATTTATTTTTCTTTAAGCTACAAATAAGAAGGAAACCCCAAACATTAAGTTAGCTTACTACCTTATTTGAATTATATTTTTTAATTGTCATAGTTTAAAAACAGTTTCGTTTATAAGAAAAACAAACTGCAAAGTTTGATGACAGTTGTTCAATTCATTCAGCAGCATTCATTCAAATTTTCTAAGTTTCCTTATAAATTCATAGGAACAATCTTAAAAGAAAGACAGGAGTCGGCCAGGCACAGTGGCTCACACCTGTAATCCCAGCACTGTGGGAGGCCAAGTGGGAGAACCTCTTGAGGCCAAGAGCTCAAGACGAGCCTGGCCAATATGGTGAAACCCTGTCTCTACTAAAAATGCAAAAATTAGCCTGGCATGGTGGCACATGCCTGTAATCCCAGCTACTTGGGTGGCTACGGCATGAGAATCGCTTGAACCTGGGAGACAGAGGCTGCAGTGAGCCGAGATTGTGCCAGCCTGAGCAACAAAACAAAACTGTCTAAAAAAAAAAAAAAGACAGGAGTCTATAAAATAGGCAATCATCATATGTTTAATCCATCGAAGAGCACTGCAAAAATTTGAAAATAAGAATTAGAAAAAAGGCCAGGCGTGGTGGCTCATGCCTGCAATCCCAGCATTTTGGGAGGCCAAGGCAAGCAGATCACTTGAGGTCAGGAGTTTGAGACCAGCCTGGCCAATGTGGCGAAACCCTGTCTCTACTAAAAGTACAAAAATTACCCAGGTGTAGTGGCGGGCACCTGTAATCCCAGCTACTCAGGAGGCTGAGGCAGGAGACTCACTTAAACCTGAGAGGCAGAGGTTGCAGTGAGCCGAGATCGCGCCACTGCACTCCAGCCTGGGTGACAAAGCGAGACTGTTTCAAAAAAAAAAAAAGAAAGAAAGAAAGAAAAAGGTTATATCTGATGCACGGATATATTACTTAACAAAATTTATGAGAACACATATCATTATTTTTATCTCTAAAAGCTTCAATCACTCTTTCTTAGTAAATAAACTTTGTACTCCCTAATGTGGCATTTAAAGCTCCAACCTCTCTTTTCAATATTATACTCCAGTCAAATGTTATACTCATTGCCTCAGAATCCGCAATATTCAATACCACACTCCTTGTTTTTATTGATCTTCTTCCCTTGCCTGGAACGACCAACTCCTCTCTACTGTATCCTACTCATTCACTCAACCAACTTACATATTTGGAGCACCAACCATACACCAGGCATTGTTATATAAACAGTTCCTGTGTTCCTTGAACAATCTGGTGAAGACAATTACAACACAGTGTAATAAAGACAATATAGTGTAAGAAAGGCTATGATTGGGAAAGAACAGGGACTATGAGAACCACAGGAACACTTATTCCAGTGCTGAAAGATCAAGAAAACTTTTCTGGAAGTTATGGACTCTATGATTATATTTTAAGAGATTAGTAAGAATCACTTCAGGCAGAAATAACATCTGCAAAAGCCCAGAGACAGAAAATCACATTATATTCCAGAAACTGAATGAAATTCTTTTATGATAAGCTACTAGATTTTCAAGAGAATTTGGTCTCAAGCAAATATATGAAATCACCTAGAGAGGTTTTATACAGCAAGAAAAGACAAAAGACAGCTTCTCCAGTCCTCGGCAGTCTCTCTTTCAACTTTTTTATTATTTGCCCCTATATCAGTCATTTGGAGTTAAACAGGAACTAAGTTTTTGTATCCTCCATGCCTTACAGATAATATTCAAGTATTAGTTGAGAATGATTCTAAGCTTCAAACACCCCTACAAAGATCCCTGTATAATCTACTTTTCTTCCTCCATCATTCAAGCAGCAACTAAAATGTTATTTTCTCTAAGATTCTTCCTTAAATCAGAGGGCGATGGCAAATAGTATCTTAACTCATTTGTTAAAAATGAAGTCAACAACCGGTCAATGATGAGTGCTTTGATTTCCTTTTTCATTATTTATAAAAACTAGGTATACCAGGTATAGAATTGAATAAGACATTATATCTTTTCAAAGCTGGGTCAATGGTGTTGCAGTAGGAGATGAAGCAGAGAGTAATATTGTAAGGCAGGGGCAATGGGAGTGAGAGGAGGAGGCGGGAGGAACGGTAGGAGTGCTAGCTGGATATCAGGCTGGTGCTGAGGGACAGGCCTTGCTCCTAGAACCAAGAAATTATAGCCAGACATTAGCCTTGCCTGTCTTGTCCTCAGGCTGAAGCACAGCCAGGGAAGAAAATGATTTTAATAAAAGAAGCTAAGGTATATGACATAAAACAGTGGTATGTATCAAGCCTGAGATATGGAGTAAAAATGAAAACAGAGTAATTATCATCAACATTTCAGATAGCCAGGAAAATCAGAAGCAGGACAGAATCTGGTATGAAGAGGCAAAAAAGAGTAGCACTTCAATATTACACTGTAATAACAAAATATATATAGGAGTTCCCCTTTTAGTACAGGCTCAAAACACTCAGACATTTAATGCCTTCAGTGGCTACAAAGGATTAGATATCATGCAGACTGAAAATCTCCCATGTCTTGGAAAACTAAATGAAAGAAAATGTAGCTCATGTCACTTAAGAAAGCTAGTTATTGATAACAGAAATAGCACAAAACCATACAGCAGATACTATACACCACTCACTGTTTTAAGCACTTTACATACATTAACTCATTTAATCTTCACAATGATCCTATTATCATCCCCATTGTAAATTGAGACAAAGAGATATTAAACTATGTGTTCAGATAGTAAGTGGAAGAATCAGGATTCAAACCCTGTCTGGCCCCAGTGTCTGTATTTTAAATACTACTCATACTGCTTCTGTTTTCCTTCTCTCCTCTTCTTGCCTCTTTCTATCCCTTGCCTCAATCCTTATTTCTACGTTCCTCTTTCATCTTTCTCTTGCCCTAAAATTCAACCTAATGGGAGAGATCCACTATAAGCAAGTAAGTATAACATACAGTAAATACTATAATAGAGATATTACTATAAATTATTACTGGAGCACAAAGAAGCACTACCTGAGAAAGTCATAAAACGCTTTAGAAGAGATGACACTTGAGTAGGGTATAAAAAAGGAATAGAACCTCTATAAATAGTAAAAGTACATTTGAAATAGCATGGTTAAAGACAGAAATAATATACATGGCATTCTATAAGCACTAATGGGCAATAATCACGGCAGTCATATTTATTTACCTCTGTATCTTCAAAGTACCTAGGACAGCACCACATAGCTGACATATAAACATCTGTGGACAAATGGATGGATGGATGAATGAATGAATGAATGTATGTGTATTCAGGAAAGATTAAGAATATACCAGAGGAGCTGTAACTGGAGATGAAAGCAAGGTCCAAATTGTCAAAGAACCTTGAATATCATCCAAAAATTTTTGTATTTGGGGAGTAACATGATTACAAGTTTGCCTTGTAGAACTATATTGGTTAAAACAACTAGAAAACTGAAATATGGTAGCAAGTCAATAGTGGTAAAATATCTTCAGTTCTTAAACTAAGTAGTAGCAGTGGTAACAGAGAAGGGTAAAATCTAGTCTTTGTTCAAAGAAAATTGATAATGATCCACTTATGTAAATTTAGAGGATAAGAAAGAAGAAGAGTTGAGGATAAGAAAGAAGAAGAGTTGAGGATAAGAAAGAAGAAGAGTTGAGGTTAATTCTAAAGTTTCTAGTTTGAGTGACTGGGTAAATGGTAATGCACTAACCAAAATGAAGGATATGAGAAGAAAGGCATTTGGATTAGAGCATGGGAGGAAAGAGGAAAGTAGAAGGAGAATGACAGATAATTAATTTAGTTTTTGACATGCTACACTGGAAATGCCAACAGAATATTTCACAGAGGGAAATATGAGTATGATGTTCTGGTAAAGGTCAGGTTAGTTAACAAAATTTGAAAATTTTTCCCTCTTTTTTGCTCCTCTTATTCCATATGAAACACTTCACTCACTAAATAATACCAAGCTGGCAAATGCAGGTGCCAGGCTTTATTAATGGTAAATATCTTATGTTACATATCTTTAGATAAATACATACTAAAGCTTCAGACAAATTAAAAAAAAAAGCAGCTTTCCCCACTAGGAAAAGGTGAAATATGCCTGCTGTAAACATACTGTTCACACAATACCCTGACTGAATGCCTGTTTTTCACATTCATTAAAAATATTTTATCTATTTATAATTTTAAAACAGTAGTATGGTTGTAGAGAAGAAATAAAATATCTTCTAATAAAAATACTAAAAATCTTCAGGCTTATTTTTCATCCTTATCTGAGAACTAAACTAATATTTATTATTTCAAATACATTATGATACCAGAAGTCAGCCAGTAACAGTTCTGAGTATAAAAACATTTGGTAAATCCCACCTGTACATAAAACTGCAATAGGATATACACTGAAATTAAACTAAAGATATGAATACTGTACAACATGCTTGTCCAACTCATGGCCTGCCAGACATATGCAGCTCAGGATGGCTTTGAATGCAGCCCAACACAAATTTGTAAACTTTGTTAAAATCTTATGAGTTATTTTTTACAATTTGTTTTTAGCTCATCAGCTATTGTTAGGGTATTTTATGTGTGGCCCAAGACCATTCTTCTTCCCATGTGGCCCAGGGAAGCCAAAAGATTGGACACCCCTGCTGTACACCATCAATTAAAAAATTACACTGATTCATACCTCCCTAATAAAAAATATATTCTTATTCATTATAGGAGTAGAATTTCCCCTAAAATCTTTGTATACTATGAATCTGCTTAGAAAGTCATTCTGCATAAGTATAAGATAATGTAATTTATCTATACCTATACCTTCTTTCAAGCATTCTAGGCCACCCACTGCAGGAAAGTAAATCTATTTAAAACACACATGCCTCTTAAGGAGGATCTTCAAAATCTTCATTTAGGCCAGGTGTGGTGGCTCACGCCTGTAATCCCGGCACTTTGGGAGGCTGAGGCAGGTGGGTCACCTGAGGTCAGAAGTTCAAGACCAGCCTGGCTAACATGGCAAACCCCATTTCTACTAAAATTACAAAAATTAGCCGGGTGTGGTGGCGGGCACCTCTAATCCCAGCTACTCAGGAGGCTGAGGCAGGAGAATTGCCTGAAGCCAGGAGGCAGAGGCTGCAGTGAGCTGAGATCGCGCCACTGCATTCCAGCCTGAGCGAGAGCGAGATTCCATCTCAAAAAGAAAAAAAAAAATTCTATTTAAAAGCACACAGCCAATAATTAGTTTAATATTACACATTTGAAGAATTAAATTTGTTGAATACAGTCAATAACTCAAATTTCACTAATGCAAGTTTTCCCATGATCCAAATTTGCAAAGTTTTAATGTGGTAAACAACAAAACCAAGACCAACTAATAACAACCTGAACAATATCAAACACTTAAAAAGTGCTTATTATTTAACAGGGACTGTTTTAAGTCCTTTACAAGCATTATCTTATTTAATCCTCACTGCAACCATATTTTACAGATATAGATACTGAGGTTCACAAAGAGTAAGTAAAACTTTCAAGATCTTAAAATTATTATTCAGTGACACAGTCTGTATTTGAACTTGAGCACACTGACTCCTGAACCCAAACTGTTAACTGCTAATCTCTTAGCTTCCCATTTGCCAGATATTGTTGTAATTGCTTTCATTTTAAAATTTAACACTCAAGACAATTTATGATAAGTACTATAATATTATCTTAGTCTTTAGATTAATAAATTGAAGTCCAGAGAATAATTAAGTTGTCCAAGTTCACAAATCTATGAAGTGGTAGAACCTGGATTTGAATCCAGACATTCTGACTCCAGAATCCATGATCTTAAACACCAAGTAATACTGCTCCTTGTATGCCAACCTGCATATAAAAGATAAGAAAAAGCTATATGACCAAAGTAACATAGCTCACTATATATATTATGTGCAAATATTTTATTTATAGCTCTTATATATGTTAAAAAATAGCAAGCAATTTCAACTTCCTCAAAATAAATACATGAATTTTAAAACTGGAATTCTAATTTTTTTCTATTCAAGTTACTATTCAAAATATTTTAAAATTAATTTTAGAATTAAGTTTAAAAACCAAAATATGTGGTACTTCCTTATATGCCACATTTGAAAAGCTAATAAAACAAATATGAATTTAAAAACTAAAGATACTCTATAGAAAATAGCTTGATATTCATTAGTAGTGCTCAATAAAGAATATTAACTGCTCTCTGTGAGCTATATCGTCCACTATATGAATTCCCTAAAGACCATACTGCAAAGTGAGAAGGGGCACTAGGTACAATATCTCACCAGAAAATGTAGAAAGTTTAGTCTTTCCAAGACTAATGATTATTTGTGTTATGTATACTGAACTGGCTTTGGCAGTTATATCTTTATATTTAGAAATAAATATATGTATTTACAAAAAATAAACTTAAAAAATACCAATTTTTTAAAATTTAAGCTTCAGTAACAGTGGTAAAATTCATTTTAATTTCTACAGATAAGTTGGTCATTGAAAAAAATGAAAAAATTACAGTCTTACTAAAGTCAAAGCAAGAGCAAATACATTTCGACTTTGAAAGTATTGCAGAATTCACTTAAATTCTCCATTATATTTTGTCACAAAAGAACATTTTCTAGCTAAGAAAATGTTTTTCTAAGAAAAATGCTAGGATATACATGAAAATAATTAAATATATGGGGGATATTTATCTACTAAACCAACACATTTTCTATTTTGATTTACTTGGACCACAATAATACTCTAAATAATATTTCTATCAAAACAAATTAATTATAATTTCTAAAATAAATTTTGTAAGACTATTCTATTCATTATATCTTAAATGCAAAATTAAACAAAAAGTACCTATGCTTTATCTAATTATTTTTTTAAAAAGATAAAAAGTAACAACTTACAATTTGCATTATAAGGGATGTATTGCTGATTTGTCCTGCTGGGCATGAAACACTAATCCTCTAACTCCATGTCATGGATACTTTAATAATTCATTTAATAGATGCAATTCTATCTCTTGACCAAAATGTGAACTATCAAAGTCAACTTTCATTGAAAAAGATATACCTGTTTTACATTTAATTAGCTGTAAATATTTTCTCCATATTTTAATCAGAAAAATGCTATAATTTATTTTGCTCTGGGTTTGGACATAGAGAATTATTCATAATTCTAAGAGATAATTTAGGAAAACAGAAGGTTAGTATGTTTCAGTTTCCTTTTATAACATTTCAATTAGTTTACAAATAAAATTTCCCTCAAATTTTCGTATTACATTATAAACAATGCAAAACTGGAAAGAATATATGTAAATTAAAAAAAGAATGTAACAATGCTAGCTGTTAACTCCAGATTTTATAAAAAACAATCATTACAAAGAGCATTTACTGATAGAAGTAACACAATTCACTGGTGAGTAACTTAAAGGGACAATGGAAGAAGGCATAGATGGTAGTGATGTGAAACACTAAGATCTTAGGGAAAAAAAATGCCCTCTAAGAGAAACAGTTACCTACCTGGACAGGTTGATAAAACAGATGCCACCCAATTTGTTTCACAGTTCAAGCCATGAATAGATTGAACCTGTATTCCCTCTAAGTACATGCAATAAATTGAAATTTCATTTGACTATCATAACAAAAAACTCTAAATCAATCTTGAAGAAATTAGAAAAAAAAGAAAACCCAAACTTTTATTAAGTATGGAAAACCAAATATAAAGTGTATTTAAACCATATACTTCTTACTTAATAATACTTAATGTACTTCATATATTTAAACCAAATCTTAATATAAAACTCTATCAATCTCTGGCAGAGACTTTTCTTCAAGGACAGTCTTGATTGAGGCTTTAGAATTATGATTCTAATGAAGTTTTAGACTAAGAAAAACTTATTTTCCTGGCAAATCTCCCTACAGCAAAGCATAGTCATTCTTTTGAACAACGAATTGTCTCAATTTTTTTCATTACCTATTCAATGTGTATGGATTCCTTCACAATTATCTAAATGAGAAACGGCATGGACAATATCTAAGGTCACTGCTTCCTCTCCTTTACTTTTTCAATGATTCTTTCTTTCTTTTCAATAAGATCTTCATGCTGAGCTACTATGAGTAAGATTTTGAATTCAACACCAATTGCAGGGGAATATTCTGGTTAAAGCCAATCTGTGATGTCAACTACAGTTTTAGATAAGCTTATTTCAAGATTTAGTTCAAACCCATCAAAATTCTGATAAATACCAAGCAGTTTCATTCAAATCTCTCAGAGAGACACCATCTTCCTCTCAAATTTTAATATTAGGACACCTGGTTCTCTTCTTGAAATGATCAAAACATTGTTTGCTCACTCTAAAACCATCTTTCCCCTACTAAGCCTGATCCATTTTGAAGAGAAGTAGCTTTTGCTGAAAACATTGAATGGTTCAATAGATTTACTGTGTATGAACACATACATAGGCAATCAAAGCTTCATCTAACCTTACCAGCATATCATGTTTTCTTATCCACTAAATAAATGAGTCCGGCATAGTTCAGTTAGTGATGACAAGAGCTCAACATCAACATCATACTGTGCTCCCACCTGAATATAGCAACTGGAATGTTCTACTCACTTGCATTCTCAATGCATCTAGAATAAAAAATGTGTAGCTCCATTTGCAAAATGATATCATTCTACCTTTTTGTTGATATGATATCTGTATCAGATATAGTAAAAGCAAATATATTTGAAATTTTAAAGAAAAACTACTCTAAAAGCTTTGAGAAAAGATACAATCCTTTAAGTTCAGCTGCTGATAGATTTGCTGAGTAACCTCTGAACAAGCATCGCAGTTTTGGAGCAGAATCATGTGAGAAACAGTTTGAGTCCTGTCCTTAGAGATTGAAATACAAATTTTAAATAATTAAAATGAAGTAGGAGCTACTTTTCAATAAGTAAGGTGTTATAAAGTAAGAAGTAGTGCTACAAGGGTCACCAGCCACCAAATCAACATTAACTGAAGAAAGAATTTGTCAATCAAAAAGAGAAAAGATAAGCAATGAAATGATGAAATTAAGAGATGTATGATGAAATTAAGAGATGTAAAATTTGGTGGTATACCATGACACGTCTTTCAGTGGTATCCATCTTAGTTAGGTATTTTGGGAGATATATAAACCCGTGTTACTTAATACCTTTACCAATGACCTGAATAAAGGAATTGAGAATATGTTCATTAATTTTGTAGAAGGTCCTAGGAATACTAGGTAGGGCATGATTGCTAATTCTCTGAAAGAAAGAAAGATACACTAAGGACCTCAATATATTAAAGAAATAACACATCAAAACAAAGTGAAATTCAATATGGATAATTTCAAGGTTACTACACCATTAGGAGCCAAACACTAATAAATGTTAATGAAAATGTTGGCTCAGTAAAATGTGTCAGGAAAAAAATTAAAATAATATAATACGAGTCAAACAGAAATCAGCAGTATAATGTTTCTAACTGGTGAAAACTAATCATTCTATTATGCTATCTGATTCTGATGAAAGCAATTATGGTCTCCAATTTCAAAGTAAAATTGAGAACACCTAGTAAAGAATACATTTGGAGACTTTCACAATAAGGAAAAAAAATTAAAAAGCAGAATAAAACAAACAGAAACAGCATTTGTTAAAAAAATAAATCATTTGTGAATAAAATTAAATTTATGTGGGAAAAAATATTAAAACCAATTATTTGTAAGGATTTGGCAATATTTAATGCATTTTAAAAGGGAAACTGGTTTCCTAATCCTGCTAAAGAATATAATGCAATGGCTTAAAGAGAGCAAGTTAAGAAGCATTGCCAGCAAGTGACTGGTCAGCAAGCTGCTTTCCAGAACAGTATGATCTTTGATGAGTTCATCATTGTCTACTGTCTTACCCTCACTTTTAGAAGACCAAAAACTTGTCTTTTTTCAGGGCCTAGAGGGCCTATGTGAGGAAAAAAAATGAATAGAGGTAAAAAATCTAGCTGTTAGATCCTGTTACACAGTATCCAAATAAATTCAAATGGCAGCGGATATATGAACAACATAAAATTTAAACTGGAGAAAACTCCATTAGAATAACAGAAATGTTAACAGAATGTGAAATCAGGACACACACATCTTCCTGGTATTAGAGTACCTGAAAAGCTGAAACAGTAATTAAAAGGTTTCTTGGCAGGCACAGAATGAAAACTAAAGGGAGGAAACTCTACCAGATACCAAGAATTATTTTAAAAGTAGAATAATTAAAACTAGATGATATTGGCACAGGAATAGATAACAGACCAAAAGGCCAGACACAGACACTTGCACACATGGATTCTGATGTATGACAAAGTTGGCTGCAGAGCAGTGGGTGAGTGAGGGATCATGTTTTGAATGCATTGTGCTTGGAAAATCGAGGATATAAGGGAAAAATGAATTTACATACAAACCAATTCTAGATAGACTATAGATCTAAATGTGAAATGCTTTAGCCAATCAATTTTGTAGAAAAAAATACAAATACTTTTCTTCATGATCCCAAGGCAAGGGATTTCTTACTAAACAAGACATAAAAAGCATAAATCACACAAGAGAATACTGATAAATTTTATTACATTAAAATTTAAAATTTCTGATCATCAAAAGATATAATGACTAGGCAAGCCCAATAATATATTATATGGAATAATGTATTTGCAACACATAATCAGGAGGAAAAGGCTCATATCTAAATACATAAAAAATGTGTAAAAACATTTTTTTAAAGACAGCACAGTAAAAAAATGGG